>NW_019805501.1:0-116753 GCF_000001405.40 Homo sapiens
AGATATTCAGATATTCAGACCTTAAGAATGCACTTTATCCTTATCACAAAGCAGCAAATGAAGTGCTGTGCTTCCTAGCAGCCAAAGAATAAAAAAAGGTCTACACGATCAATGTCTGTCATTCCCACAGGGAGGCAAAGCTTTTCCAGGCAGTGTATTCTAAAAGTTTTATCTAGAGGCATTGGGGGATGAACAGGACAATGGCTCTAGCAGAAAGCTGACAATAAAGACTCCAGTGATTTTCATCTGACGGTTAACATCCTTTCTTTCAAACCTGAGTTAAGTCACAGGAGGCTGTTCTGTGAGAGGGGCTAAGCTGACATAGACCAATGATGTTGGCTTGGGCTGGGGTGAGGAGAGGTTGTCTACTGGCAGATAACACATAACACCAGAGGACAAGATGATGAGCTACTATTTCAGCCCTTGTGCAGCTCCTTCCATCCCCCGACATCAGACATCATGATGCTCTCGAGCCTGCTACACAAGTCCCGGCACAACTCGCAACCCACTTCAGTCCCCAACTCAGGAAATAAGAAAAAAACTCAGAACCAACAGGAGCAAGAGAATGGTATCACAGGATGACTCTGCAGCATCCTGAATTTATCAGAAACAATGTGAAAAGGCTGACATTTAAATTATTTTATTCACAATATATGTAGGACATACCCCATGACTGAGAACAGCTCTCTTACACTGTCTTCCAGAAATGGAACTCCTCCCAAGGCAAGCTTGGGTAGGCACTACACAACAAACAATTTGTGAAGTTACTTTTTTTTGCTAAGGGTCTAGTGCAGTGTCATCCAGTAGAACTTCCTGTGATCATGGAAGCGTTCTACATCTTGTGTTGTCCAACACAGTAGCCACTAGATACAAGTATTTGATGTGTGGCTAAGTCATGCTAAGGAGCTAAAGTTTGCATTTTATTCCAGTTTAACTCATGTAAATTTAGAGAACTACAGGTGGCCAGGGACTATGGAATTGGACACAGCAAGTCTAAAAGATCTTACTAGGCTGGGCACGGTGGCTCACGCCTATAATCCCAGCACTTTGGGAAGCTGAGGCGGGTGGATCACCTGAGGTCATGAGTTTGAGACCAGCCTGGCCAATATGGTGAAACCCCATCTCTACCTAAAATACAAAAATTACCTGCGCATGGTGACACACGCCTGTAATTCCAGCTATTGAGGAAGCTAAGGCAGGAGAATAGGTTGAACCTGGGAGGCGGAGGTTGCAGTGAGCTGAGATTGCGCCACTGCACTCCAGCCTGGGCCACAGAGTGAGACTCCAACTCCATAAACAAAACAATAAAATAAAATAAAATAAAATAAAATAAAAGATTGTATTAAACCATGTTCTAGCCAATACCTGGCCATGGGAGAAAGACAACTGGAAGTTATTGGAAACTTTGCTTCCTAATACAAAAATGTATTCAAATTCTCTTGCTTTAGTTTTCTCTTTAATTTACATAATAGGTAGGAGGATGGCATAATACAATCGACGTGGAAATGAGTCTTGATTTTAACCCCAATCCTAGCGCAGCATTAGACTTTCACTCTGGCTGTAGCTTCCTTGATCTGAAGGCCAGAAAGTAGGGCTCAGGCATCTGCGCGTCTGTCGCCTGTGCAGGAGATGACAGAATGTCTAAAAGTTTCCCTGCCACTTTTATTTGGGATCACGGAGGATTCCCAGAGTTGTGATTTTGCCCTCTGGGCGTTGGTGCCAACTCTCATGCTCAAATCCAACAGCGTCATTTAGAAGTGTGCTACCGGCTTCTGCCTCAGTGCACACCAGGAACATGATATGTTGAGCAAAATGTCATCCCATGTAGGAGCCTGTGCTAATTATAATGTCAGGCTTCCCACTGAGATACTGATAATTAAAGGAGAATATTACAATGTTTTCAAACTCCTGCAGTAAATGAGAAGCATCTTCAAATGTAACCTGTTGGAGATGAAAATTAAAGCCATCTGTGACGTCCCCATTTAAGACCTCCACAACCAGAACCAGACAATTTTTGAGGATCAAAGCAAGTTGAAGGCAAAAGTAGGTGGGTGGTAGAGTTTGGGGGAAGAGGAGGAGGTGGAGGGGAATTAATGTTTTCCAGGTCCTGCTGTGTTCTAGGAACCACAATACTCTTTATTTTTTTATTGAGACAGGTCTTGCTCTGTCACCCAGGCTGGAGTGCAGTGGCACAAGCACGGCTCACTGCAGCCTCTACCTCCTGGGCTCAAGTGATTCTCCTGCCTCAGCCTCCTGAGTAGTTGGGACTATAGGCATGTGCCACCACGCCCAGCTAATTTTTGTATTTTTTGTAGAGACGGGGTTCTGCCACGTTGCCCAGGCTGGTCTTGAACTCCTGAGTTCAAGTGATCTGCATGCCTCGGCCTCCCAACGATACACTCTGAATAGCAGATAACACAGTGGGTGGCCCTGCTTGTTGCTACTGCTGTCGTCTCAATAATGAACTGCCAAGTAGCTATTATCTGCATTTTACAGCTGGGAAAGCTAAGACTCTCATGATCTCACCTAAGGTTACCTACCTAGTAAAGCATTTGGTGGCTCCAGGATCCAAGTCTTGGCCTTTCTGCTCTAAAGGTTGTGCTTGTCCTATGCCTGTGGGCGACCACCTGCTTGGGTCCTGGAGCATCAGTGGTGGTGATAGGTGTGCAGGGGCCTCACAGGCATTCATTTTACACATCTCCTAGAGCACCCACAGTGGTGGGCCCTGTGTACGGTGAGGCTTCCTGCCCAGGTTTCCCTGCCCAAGTCTCCTTGCTGAACTGAGCCCGATGCATCTGGAGTGAGAACTACGCCAACGTGGTGCTGCAGACATTAACATTTAATGTGGCAAGCTTAAGAAAAGCAAGAAGCATTTCCTGAACTTCTCTGTAACTCTCTCTGAAAAACAGTGTGATCCACGGGAAGAAAAGAAACACAGAGCTCACCAGTGAGACACAACACACGGAGACAGAGTGTGAGTTAAGCTGTACCCATCATTGCTTGTGTGGCCTCGGGCTTTTTTTTTTTTGAGACAGGGTCTCGCTCTGTTACCCAGGCTGGAGTGCAGCGGCACGATCTCAGTTTTCTGCAGCCTCCACATCCCAGGCTCAAGCGATTCTCCTGCCTCAGCCTCCCGAGTAGCTGTGACTGCAATCACGCGCCACCATACCCCACTAATTTTTGTATTTTTTGTAGAGATGGGGTTTCCCCACGTTGCCCAGGCTGGTCTTGAACTCCCAGGTTCAAGCGATTCACCTGCTTCGGCCTCCTAAAGTGCTGAAATTACAGGTGTGAGCCACCGTGCCTGGTCTTGGGCTTGATCTTTAAACTTTCTAGGTCTCAGTTTCTAAAATGTAAAACAGGGACGCAAATATCTAAATCATGTATGTGGTGCACTTTATACAGCGTCTGGAACCTTGAAAGGCCCCCGTAAGTGGCAGCCTTTAGCATTATTGGTATATTTTATTATGGTCAATGATGCATGCCTTTGTGTGGTGTTCTGCTTCCTCATTAACTGAGCCTGAGTCGCCGGCTACTGAGAAGGCCCCTCCAGTTTCTGGAAGCAGAGCAATGTGAAGCAGAAGCTGTTGCATCACGGTTTCTCCTGGAAAGGTCTGTACCTAACAGTAGAATTTTCTGCTCAGTCTTTACCCCAGGAAAATGAAAAATCAACATGTTCTTTCTCATGGCTAGTAGCTCCTTTCTTGCAAGTCGGGGCCCTGGTCTCGCACTGCTGCCCCTCCAAAGCCACCCTTTGCAGCACGGGGAGACTGCACAAGGGCAAGCTGAAGGTCCAGGCTCACATCACCAATGTCAGCAGCAGCAGCCTCCCTGGCCACCTGCAGCTGTCCGCAGACTTTTCAGCATTCCAACAGATCCTCCATATTCCACACAAAATCAAAATCCACAGCAACTGCCACCTCGTTGGAAAGCAGGGCTCAAAAAACAACTTTATTTTTCTCCTGTCTATTGACTTGGAGGAAAATTCACTAGATTTTTTAAAAATGTACTATAAAAATGTATATTGCTCAAAAAAAAAAAAAAAAAAAAAAGCAGGACTCATAGACACCCCAAGCAAGTGCCATGGTAGGTGGGACAGAGATTATCCCTTTGTGTCAAAGGACTCTGCTGGATGGAATGAATGGGAAGGAACTTAACAAAAAGAACTGGCTTCAAAGAGTTCAAAGGTTTCCATATGACCCAGCAATTCTACTCCAAGGTATGTACCCAAGAGAACACAGGTCCATACAAAGACATAAACACACATAGCAGCATTACTTACAACACCCAAAAAAGTAAAAACAATCCAAATGTCCATCAAGTGATGAAACAGTAAACAAAACACGGTGTATCCATAGAATAGAGTATTATCTGGCCAGAAAAAGAAAGACTTACTGATACATGCTACAACATCAACGAAACTTGGAAGCATCATGCCAAGTGAAAGAAACCAGACACAAAAACATACATATTACATGATACCGTTTAAATGAAAGTCAGTCCCGGTTAGGGAAACTGTAGAGACAAAGTAGATTAGTGCAGGGGCTGGAGGGAGGGAGGAATGGGGAGTGACTGCTAATAAGCATGCAGTTTCTTTTTTTCCTCAGAGGTACTGCTCAAAGAGTGTGGGGTTTCTTTACAGGGTGATGAGAGTATTCAGGAATAGTGGTAGGTTGGGTACAGTGGCTTACACCTATAATCTCAGCACTATGGGAGGCTGAAGCAGGAGGTTCTCTTGAGGCCAGCAGTTCGAGGCCACCCTGGCCAACACAGCAACACCCTTGTCTCTACTGGAAGAAAAAAATTAAAATTAAAAATTAAAAAGATAGTGATGGTGGTTGCACAACCTTTCAGATATACTAAAACCACTGAATTGTGAAATTTATTTTTCTTTCCTTTTCTTTTTTTTTTTTTTTGAGACAAGGTCTTGCTCTGTCACCTTGGCTGGAGTGCAGTGGCACAACCACGGCTCACTGCAGCCTTGACCTCCAGGGTTCAAGCAATCCTCCCACCCTAGCCTTCCAAGTAGCTGGGACCACAAGCGTGCACCACCACACCTGGCTAGTTTTTTAATTTTTCGTAGAGATGGGGGTCTCGTCATGTTGCCCAGGATGGTCTCCAACTTCTGGGCTCAAGCGATCCACCCACCTCAGTCTCCCAAAATGCTGGGATTACAGGCATGAGCCACTGTGCCTGGCCTTGAATTGTGAACTTTAAAAGGGTGAATTTTATGGTATGTGAATCATATCACATTCTTTTAAAAAAGTTAACAGGGACTCTTTCCTCAGTGTGGAAGTGTAATTGACAGACCTCCTAACTACCAGTGAGCGTGGGGATGAGAAAATGCCACACAATAAAGTTGCTTGAGAAAGAGAGAGATTGAGCGACAGATCATGTGTGAGATGGAGTAGGGTCAGTAACCATTTAAATATGCCACTGACCTTGAGAAAAAGAATGTCAGCTATAATCACAAGCCACAAACGTCTGTCACTGTGAATTGGCTCATCACGAAGAACTGAGGGATAACATGGAGTTATGATAGCAGTGGAGGCAGGCAGGGGAAAAGGGCCCATGAGATATGGATGGCAGCACTCTCCCCCATTCCCTGCCATCCCCACTGCACATGTATAAGCTAAGTAAATATTACGTCGTCTTTTACTAACACCCCAAAACTCTCACTTGATGAAGGACCAGGGGAGTAAGTTGCTGAATGGGCTCATTAAGACTTAGGAATTCTTTAGAGGCTCAAACACAGAAAGCCAGTGATGGGAAATAAGGATGACACAGCTGATAGCCCATGGGAGTCCCAGGGTGAGACTAAGACTCCATAAGAGCCAGGCTTAGACTTATAAAGGAATGCTGGCTGCTGAAGACATTTCAGAACTCAAGCTAAGAATCTCTGGCCTGCATTCAGAAGATACCTTTGGTCTCTGTGGTTGGCCAAATGATGGCTCCAAATATATCCAGGTCCTCATTCCTGAAACCTGTGAATGTTACCTTTCATGACAAAGGAGATTTTTCAGATATGATTATCCTGGATAATCTGGGTGGTCCCTCAATGCAACCACAAGAATCTTTATAAAAAGGCAGAGGGAGATTTGGCACAGAAGAGAAAGCAGTGATCCTGGAGGTACTGATTGGAGTGATGTGGCCACAAGCCAAGGAATGCCTGCAGCCTGCAGAAGCTGGAAGAGGCCAGGAATGGATTATCCCCTAGAGCCCCCGGCAAGAACACGGCCCTTCCAACCCCTTGACTTTATCACAGTGAAACTGATGTCAGACTTCTGGCCTCCAGAACTGCAGGAGAATAAATCTGGATTGTTTTAAGCCACTAAGTTTGTGATAATTGGTTACACCAGCCAAAGAAAACCAAGGCAGTCCTTCATTCTGCTTCTAACTTGTCTAAATATTAAAACATCCCCAGTAAGATGATCTCTAGCATAAAGGAATAACATCTCTCTACTTCTGTGCATAAGTTGAGGGTTGAGGTGTTGAAGTGGTTAGGTGATGGTAACTCCTTGATGAACTGAGTCTGATGCAGCTGGAGTGAGAACCACGCCAACGTGGTGCTGCAGACATTAACGTTTAATGTGGCAAGCTTAAAAAAGGCAAGAATTTCACCTTTCCAAAAAAGCATTTTTATCTGATCGCAAGTCATAAATATTTACTACAGGAAAGCTTAGTTATAAATCTCACAAAAACAGGAAGAAAATAAAAGTCATCTGCAATCCTATCACCCAGGAATAACCAACCACTGTGAACATTTTCATGTCTAAATTTGGGTTCCTGTTCCCTGAAACAAAAAATCACTTTGGATTAAAATCCCAAGCATTTCTTTGAAAGCCATTATCAGGAGCTGGCAATGAGGACAGGCCACATGACCAAAACCAACTGTTGTGTGGTTCTAGCAACACAAACAGTGGTCCCCAGGCCTCTATGTCATAGCAACAACCAGCAAAACAAACTTGGCTCTTGATACTATTGAGAGGAAAATAAAAAGCATGGAATTCACCTACCCTCTTCTCTGGACCTTTAAAATAATTTCAAACACAAAAGGCAGCAAGAGTCTGCCAATGTATCATCAGGACCCACATGAGTCAATGTCCTCCCTTGGCCCACCTGGACAATGTAGAAAGAAAATTAGGCGGCTGGGAGTGGTGGCTCACACCTGTAATCCCAGCACTCTGGGAAGCCAAGGTGGGCGGATCACCTGAGGTCAGGAGTTTGAGACCAGCCTGGCCAACATGGCAAAACCCCGCCTCTACTAAAAGTACAAAAATTAGATGGGCGTGGTGGTGGGTGCCTGTAATCCCAGCTACTCAGGAGGCTGAGGCAGGAGAAGCTTGAACCTAGGAGGCGGAGGTTGCAGTGAGCTGAGATCGCGCCACTGCACTCTACCCTGGGTGACAAGAGCGAGACTCCATCTCAAAAAGAAAGAAAATTGGCTGGGTGCAGTGGCTCATGCCCGTAATCCTAGCACTCTGGGAGGCCGAGGCAGGCAGATCACAAGGTCAGGAGATCAGGACCATCCTGGCTAACACGGTGAAACCCCGTCTCTACTAAAAATACAAAAAATTAGCCAGGCGTGGTGGGGGGCGCCTGTAGTCCCAGCTACTGGCGAGGCTGAGGCAGGAGAATGGTGTGAACCTGGGAGACGGAGCTTGCAGTGAGCTGAGATGGCGCCACTGCACTCCAGCCTGAGTGACAGAGCAAGACTCCGTCTCAAAAAATAAAAAATAAAAAATTAGGACACCTAACTCTCAAACAGCCCCTCCTCTCTTAGAATGGAGGGCAGGTACCCAATGCACCAGTTCTTCTAGGTGCTCAAGTATATAATACATATTGAATACATCAAAGCTTCAGTATGTGTTATAACATTGGGCCCCCCAAAAAGAACGCAGTATAGAACTTCTTGCAAGAAGCTCCATCTATCAGGGGCAAATAAACATGTTTAAATACAGGTAATTGCATCCATCAAGAGTTGAATGAATAAAGAAAATATGGTACATACACACAATGGCGTATTATTCAGCCACATAAATGAATGAGATCCGGTCATTTGCAACAACATGGATGGAACTGGAGGTTATTATGTGAAGTGAACTAAGCCAGGCATGGAAAGACAAACTTCTCATGTTCTCACTTATTTGTGGGAGCTAAAAATTAAAACAATTGAACTCATGGAGATAGAGAGGAGAAGGATGTTTACCAGAGGCTGGGAAGGGCAGTCGGGGAGTCGGGGGAAAGTAGTGATGGTTAATAGGTACAAAAAAAAATAGATGAGTCAGACCTAGTAGTTGACAGCACAACAGGGTGGCTATAGTCAATAATATAATAATTGTACATTTTAAAATAACTACAAGTATAACTGGATTGTTGGTAACACAGAGGATAAATGCTTAAGTTGATGGGTTATGCATTACATACCTGTATCAAAATATTTCATGCAGGCCAGGCGAGGTGGCTCACACCTGTAATCCTAGCACTTTGGGAGGCTAAGGCGGGAGAATCTATTGAGCCCAGGAGTTCGAGACTAGCCTAGGCAACATGGCAAAACCCTGTCTCTACAAAAAATACAAAAAAAAAAAGAAATTAGCTGGGTGTGGTGGTATGCACCTGTAGTCCCAGCTACTCAGGAGGCTGAGGTGGGAGGATCAACTGAGCCCAAGGTTGAGGCCGCAGTGAGCCATGATCACACCACTGCACTCCAGCCTGAGTGACAGAGAGAGATCTTGTCTCAAAAAACTATGTGTGTGTGTGTGTGTGTGTGTGCACGCACGCGCATATGTATTTCATGGCCCCATAAATATACATACCTATGTTACTGACAAAAATTAAAAATAAATAAATAAATAAAACACACAAACAGGTAATTGTAAGTCAGAGTGATAATTATGGTAACAGAAGATAAAGGATACAGCAAGACAGCACAAAGGAAGGAGTGATTAACTTTGTTAAATAAATGAAATTAATAATAAATATTTCTATGATTCTTCACAGTTATCATCCAATGCTAAGGCTAGAAGGAGCCATAACAATAATTTACCACAATCCCCTAAATTTTCAAATGAATGAATGTTTGAATGAGATAACCCCTAGAATCTCTTTAAGCTTCCAATTTAACTTTCTCCCATACAAAGCAATGGTGCAGTTCACTGTTGAGACCATAAGGTACTCATGATAAGTGATTAGTAGGAACTCAATTGCTAGGTGATTTTTAATGCCATTCAAAAACAGAAGGGCCAGGAATCTTTGGAAGGCTCAGAGCCCTTCAATCTGTATGATACTGCATGGACAGCACTTCAAGAGACAGTATGCTCAAAAGGCTGCAGTCTCGGGTTGGTTTTCTAAAAAACCATGTTGTTTCCTCAGGGTGTCCTTCTGCAGCAGACACAAACACCCTAGACCACCCCCACAGATGCACCCAGGCAGGCGCCACGGAAGTAGCTTAGAAGGAGGCGGGTGGTGTCTGCACTCTGTTTCTGGAGTCTGCCTTTTAGTGCTCTTTTTACTGCGCCTGCCTGCATCTGCTGGTCTGCATCAGTCATTACCATTTCTTCCTAAGACATTTCAATTGCACAACTATACTTTTCTTTGTCCTCTAAAGGGGAGGGTTTTTTGCTTATTTGTTTTTTTCTGAGATGGAGTCTTGCTCTGCCTCCAGGCTGGAGTGCCATGGTGCGATCTCGGCTCACTGCAACCTCTGCCTCCTGGGTTCAAGTGATCCTCCTGCCTCAGCCTCCCAAGTAGCTGGGATTACAGGCACGTGCCACCACGCCCAGCTAATTTTTATATTTTTAGTAGAGACGGGGTGTCATCATGTTGGCCAGGATGGTTTCTATCTCCTGACCTCGTGATCTGCCTGCCTCAGCCTCCCGAAGTGCTGGGATTACAGGCCGTGAGCCACCGCGCCCGGCCTGGGGAGGGGTTCTTTCCTGTTCTAGGGTTGTGGATAGACTCCATAAAGTCTAAACACCCAGAATTGTCTGCAAAATATTGTGTGTGGCTGTGGTCTCAAGGTTTATGTCTCCCCAGAATTCATATTTGGAAACCTAATCCCCAATGGTATTGTTATTAGGATGGTGGGGACTTAGGGAATGAATGGTATTAGGAGGTGGGGACTTGGGGAAGTGATTAGGTCGTGAGATGGAGCTCTTATGAATGGGATTAACAACCTCATGAAATGAGACTCCAGAGAGTGCCCTCTTTCCACCATGTGAGGATACAACGAGAAGACAGTCACCTGCAACCCGGAGAAGGACCCTCACCAGAACCTGACCACGACCATGCTGGCAGCCCGATCTCAGGCTTCCAGCTTCCAGAACTGCGAGAAATAAATTTCTGTTGTTTCTAAGCTACCCATTGTATGGCATTTTGTAATGGCAGCCTGAACAGACTAAGACATGTGTACAACATCCTCTTGTGAGATGGTGTATAGCTCTTATCAGATTCACAGGACAACTGTGAACCACAGAAGCTTAAGAACTATTTGACCTTGCACATGTGTATTAAATATTAACCCAAGAGCCCCAGACGTGTGCATATGCCTTCGGGTGTGGCCTCACACTCTGGATACCTCCGGGAGATAGGCTACTATTAACAAGCCTTCCATTTTCCTTCTACTCCAAAAAAAAATTTTTTTTAGCAAAATGTCATCCTCAGGACATACTAAACTGAAATAGCAAAGACAAAAAACTTCAAAAAAAAAAATCGATTCTCCATTTAGTCATTGTGAAAAGTCTGTCTTAAAAACCCAGAGTCTCAGGGAATGTCAAAGCTCTAGTTAAATTTTTAATACACTATAAAGGATAGTGTTAAAGAAGAGACCTTTTCAAAGGTAAGTTGGCTCCAAACAGGCTCTTAAAATGGTCCTCATCAAAGACATGAAGCTGCTTGACAGTGATGGTGAGGGAGTTCACTTCTCTTTAGACAGGATTAGGAGCTGAAGACTTGAGGAATGAGCCACAGTGGGTCTTTGGAGACACATCTATTTGTAGTTAGACCCTTGGTGGCTTCATCCAGTGTCAGGGGTTTAAGTAACATTCATGTGCCAAGGGACCAGGCGCAGTGGCTCACGCCTGTAATCCCAGCACTTTGGGAGGCCAAGGCAGGTGGATCAGTTGAGTCCAGGAGTTCAAGACCAGCCTGACCAATATGGCAAAATCTTGCCTCAACCAAAAATACAAAAAGTAGCCAGGTGTCGTGGCATGCGCCTGTAGTCCCAACCACTTGAGAGGCCGAGGCAGGAGAACCTCTTGAACCCAGGAGGTGGAGGTTGCAGTGAGCCAAAATTGCGCCACTGCACTCCAGCCTGGGCATCAGGGCAGACTCTGTCTCAAAAACAAAAAACAAAAAAACAAAAAACATTCATGGGCCAATGATTCAGAAATCTATAACTCTAGCTAGACTTTGCAAGCCAACTCCAAACTCATGTATCCAGCTGTCTAGTCAGTATCTCCATTTGAATGTCTAATGGCAATCAAACCTCACAATCAAAAAACAAATTCCTGATAGTCCCCCTAAAGCCCCTGGAGCTGCAGCCTTCCTCGTCTCAGTTGATGGCAATTCCATCCCTGCAGCTGGGCAGCCCTGAAACCTCCGGGTCCCTCCTGGCTCCTCGCTTTCTCTCATATCCCACATCCAATCCATCGGCAAATCCCATTGGCTCCACCTTCAATCGGGACCCAGGAAGGGATCCCTTCTCACCACATCCAGCACGACCACCTTGGTCTGCACCACTATCATCTTTGATCTGGATTCTGCAGTGGCCTCTACATAGGCCTCCCTGCTTCCATCCTTACCTCTCCTAAGTCCCATCTCAATTCAGTATCTAAAGAGAAACAAACTTTCAAAGCTCAAGTCAAGTCATACACACCCTCTTCAAAACTCTGCAATGGCTCATCACACACAGAGCAAAAACAAACATTCTTATGCCTCCAAGTTCCATCTAAAGGAGGGGCTGACATCCCTGCCCTCACCTTGTACTTCTCTCCCTGCTGCTCACCCTGCTGTGGCCACAGTGGACTCTTGGCTACTCCTTGTGGGGGCCAGACATGCTCCTGCCTCAGGGCCTTTGCACTGGCTGTTCCCTCTGCCTAAAACACTCACTGTTTCCCAGAGATCTGCATGACTGACTCAAATTCAAGGACATCTCAAGGAGCCCCTCCCTACCTACTCTATTTAAAATGGCAATTTCTTCCTCTAACACTCTACCGTCTCCTCTGCCCTGTTGAACTTTTTCTTTTTTTAAATCACTAACCACCTTCTAACACAATATAAAATTCATTTATTATGATGATGTTCATCGACTATCTCACCTTGCTATAATATTGGTTATAGAAGGCCAGAGATCTTGGTCTGTTTTAGTACTGATATAACCCAAGTACATGGAATACAATACTCAAATATAATAAATAAAAGACAAGACTGGGAAAGAAATGTCCCTTCAAACCTCTCCATCCAGTCAAGCCAGCTGTCCTCCAGTTTACTGAAACCAGTGACTATTACCACCATGCTTCTGGTGAAATCTAACTCAATTGAGATTCCTGGAAGGCACTCAATCCTCATTTCAATTTATTTTTTATTTTACTATTATTTTTGAGACGGAGTCTCGCTGTGTCACCCAGGATGGAGTGTGGAGATAAGAGAATCCATCTTTCAAACCAATGAATCTCTCTCTCTCTCTCTCTTTTTTTTTTTTTTTTTTTTTTTTTTTTTGAGACAGAGCCTTGCTTTGTCGCCCAGGCTGCAGTGCAGTAGCATGATCTTGGCTCACTGCAACCTCTGCCTCCTGGGTTCAAGTGATTCTCCTGCCTCAGCCTCCCAAGTAGCTGGGATTACAGGCATGTGCCACCACTCCCAGCTAATTTTTGTATTTTTAGTAGAGACGGGGTTTCGCCATGTTGGCCAGGCTGGTCTCAAACTCCTGACCTCAAGTGATCCGCCCACCTTGGCTTCCCAAAGTGCTGGGATTACAGGCATGAGCCACTGCACCTGGCCTCAATCCTTATTTGAAAAAATACTTTTGCATCACCATAGAAGTGACAAAGGCTGAACTTAGACTTGGAAACTCCAAAGACACAGAATAGGGTCTCCTGTCAGGGAAGAAGTAAGATTTTAATTTATGCTCATTTAAGATCATCAAATATTGCTGTCATTCCACACATCTTCCTCCTGTTTCTGGCTTTATTCCAAGTTGTCACTGGAGTCAACAAACATTTGAGAAAGTAAACTCTGAACCATCCTGGCCTTCCATTGGGATGAGCCAGGAAATAATTCCAGCTGAGCATAATGAATCACCCAAGTACAGTGGCAGGTGTGGTATATAAAAGGGTCCATTAGAGGAAAGTTGGATACTCATTCCATTGCTATAAAGTCTGGACCTTAGACCACATTTTTGTTCTTCAGAGAAATAGTTGCCGTAATACACCTCAGTGTAGTTACCTTATTTAACACTAAACCCACTGGGCAGATCTTTACTCTTCCTCAATTGGCTAAAGAAGGGGTCATAAATGGCAGAAAGACAGCTACTATTATGAATGAAAAACAAGTAACCTCTCTTCTCTAACTATTAGCACTTAACAGGCTACAAGTTGCTGTCAGGGCTCCTAAGTAGTCCTCTGCAGGGGACCAAGGGGTCTTTCAATGACCTCTTTAAGATACGGGGTGGGCACGAGCAGGGTCTTCCACCAAGGCTAACCCACTTTGGCCATCTTTGTGCAGTGAGGTCCATATAAGACCCCATCTTTATCTCAAGACATACTGAATACCAAGATCTAGAAAACCAACAGGGTCAGATGCTGTGGCTCATGCCCGTAATCCCAGCACTTTGAGAGGCTGAGGTGGGCTAATCACTTGAGGCCGGGAGTTTAAGACCAGCCTGGCCAACATGGTGAAACCCCGTCTCTTCGAAAAATACAAAAATTAGCTGGGCATGATGGCACACATCTTTAATCCCAGCTACTCGGGAGGCCGAGACAGGAGAATTGCTTGAACCGGGAAGTGGAGATTGAAGTGAGCTGAGACTGCACCACTGCACTCCAGCCTGGGCGACAGAGCGAGACTCTGTCTCATAAAAAAAAAAAAAAAAAAAATTGGAAAACCAACTAAAAAAAGCTTATTCATAACTCAAAGAAAAGGGTCAAGAGGGGAATGAGGGAGACACATAAACTGATGAAAATGTTGGGAAAACTGGCCTACCTATGATCGTATGATAGACATTCCTAAGATTAGGATAGAAATAACAGAGGAATGTGCTTCTTATCTAGAGAAATATCTGAGCTTAAAAAGTAATTAAACACATAGTGCTTTCGGCAGATTTAATATATACTAGAATATATAATATGTATTAGAATTTTCACACTTTAAAGACGACAAAAAAAAGTCTTCATTGTGCAAGCAAAACAATATCAAGTTATACAGAGGAACAGACTCACTTTGGCCATGCTTTTTGCTTCCACAATACTAAAGCCAGAAGACAAGGGATCAACATCTGCAGAAGCTTTGTAGAGAAAAATGTCATGACTAGAAAGCTTTGCCCAGCCAAGTTCTTGCTCCTGTATTAGAGTAACAGATTGGCACCATGAACTCTGCAAGGACTCAGAAAATGTATCACCCAAGGATGCTCCCTGGGGAAGATTATTGCTCAAACTCGAATTCCCAAACAACAAAAGGTGGGTCAGCATGTTTAAGATCTCAAGATCGAGGAAATCATGGCTGAAAAGGCAGCAGGAGTATCATCGATGCCAACAATGCGCTCGTAAGTCCCAAGCACTGTACTGAAAGCTGTATGTATATTTAGCATCTCATTTAATTCTCTAAGTAAGCCACTTGTGGCATTATCCCCATTTCTTAGATGAGAAAACCAAGGTTCAGGGAGTTCAAGCAATTCGTCAAGATAACCTCCTTAGGAAGTGAGAGAGTTGGAATTTCAAAATGCATCCCAAATTGCTCAGGTTCCCTCAGTTTATTTATTTTTAAAAATATCTTTATCATTTCCTATGCTTAATCATGTTTTCTAGTTGCTCTAAAAGAAACATTCATTGTTTTTGAAATAAGGCATTAATATGTCCTTTTTTCCAATTAAAATACATCTAAAGACATAAAACAGGCCAGCGTGGTAGCTCACGCCTGTAGTCCCAACACTTTGAGGGGCCGAGGCAGGTGGATGACCTGAGGTCAGGAGTTCAAGACCAGCCTGGCCAACATGGTGAAACCCCATCTCTACTAAAAATACAAAAAATTAGCAAGGCATGGTGGTGCACACCTGTAATCCCAGCTACTCAAGAGGCTGTGGCAGGAGAATCACTTGAACCCAGGAGGCAGAGGCTGCAGTAAGCCAAGATCGCTCCACTGCACTCCAGCCTGGGGGACAGAGCAAGACTCTGTCTTAAAAAAAAAAAAAGACATAAAAGAAATTACTCTAAAATGCTAAATAGGAAAGGATTGGTAAGAACATTTCAGAAAGATGCCCACATAAAGAAGGCAGGTAAGGCAATTATCAGTGCCAAATTATACTGAACTCAATAGACTTGACCCTCGAACAATGCAGACGTTAGGAATGCTGGTTCCCTGCGCAGTAGAAAATCTGCAGAGAGTTTTTGGCTTCCCCAAAACTTAACTATGAATAACCTGCTGTTGACCAGAAGTCTTACCAATAACATAGTCAATTAGTACATATAGTGTATGTTATATGTATTATAAACTGTATTCTTACAATATAGCAATCTCAAGAAAAAATGTTATTAAGGAATTCATAAGATAACATATATTTACTATTCATTAAGTGGAAGTGAGTCATCATAAAGGTCTCATCCTCATCCTCTTCACATTGAGTCAGCTGAGGAAGAGGAGGGGTTGGTCTTGCTCTCTCAGGGGGCAGAGGCGGAAGAAAATCTGAGTGTAAGTGAACTCACGTAGTTCAGATCTGTGTTGTTCAAGGGTCAACTATGTTTTCAAATAGCATTAAGCAGAACCAGAGATACCCAGTATTTATAAAAGATACCCTCCACAGCAATCATGTAACAGTTATGAATTTATGCTCCAAATAACTTGGTAACAAATATGTAAACAAAAAGGAAGTAGAAGTTGTTTAAACTAACCGGAATGGGAAGTTTTCACATATGATGATCTATCTATGACGATCAAAAAATAAAGCCAAGAAAGATTTGTACTGCCACCTTCACTCCTCTCCAAAAAGGACCCACGTCACAATTGCCCCTTCCCCTTTTCCAGCCAGACAACTGTGCTGACAAATGACTTTACCTTCAGGCAGTGGCTGTCACGCTCACGGGCAAGACCTCACCTGGAACGTTGTGTATAGTGATGGCCAAGATGAGCAGTGCGATCCTCCTCCAGCTGCTGCCGCCGGGCTGTGCCAGATTCCCTCGAGAAGGCACAGGGACAGCAGGACCCTCTGGAAGGCCAGTGGCTGCCGCCTTCTTTCTCTGATATGCCTCACCATTCTCACTCTTGTCTGAGCAAAAAAAAAAAAAAAGAGAGATGGGGAAAGACAGCGCTTTGAACATGTGCACGTTAACTCTCCAGCAAGCTACAGCAGGAAGAAGCTTCTTTTTCTTTTTTGAGACAGGGTCTTACTCTGTCACCCAGCCTGGAGGGCAATGGTGTGATCACAACTCACTGCAGCCCCAACTTCCCGGGCTCAAGCCATCCTCCCATCTCAGCCTCCCAAGTAGCTGGGACTGCCATCTTCACTCCTCTCCAAAAAGGACCCACGTCACAATTGCCCATTCCAAACTTCCTGTAGACTATGCATGCTTCTGTGTGTTCTCTCATTCACTCAGGCATCCATTCATTCAGCGAACAATTCATTGACTAGGCTGAGCATGGTCACTCACGCCTGAAATCCCAACACTTCGGGAGGCTGAGGCAGGCAGATGGCTTGAGCCCAGGAGTTCGAGACCAGCCTGGGCAACATGGCACAATCCCATCTCTACAAAAAATAAAAATAAAGAATTAGCTAGGCGTGGTGGTATGCACCTGCAGTCCCAGCTACTTGGGAGGCTGAGATGGGAGGATGGCTTGAGCCCGGGAAGTTGAGGCTGCAGTGAGTTGTGATCACACCATTGGCCTCCAGCCTGGGTGACAGAGTAAGACCCTGTCTCAAAAAAGAAAAAGAAAAAAAAAATCACTGAACAGGCATTCAGTGCCCAATGCATAGGTACCAAGAAGGATAAAAAAGATGAAGATGTGGTATCCTAGCAATGCCTGTTTAAGACAAGCAATGTTGAGTCATGATTAGAGACACAGATGCCAGAACCATGCTGCCTGCTTCCCTTCCTGACTCAGCCACTGGCCAGCTGTGTAGTGCCAAATAAGTTGTTTCACCTCTCTGTGCAGTGGTTTTCTGATTCGTAAAACTAGAATAATAGCATTACCTATGTCACAAGCGTTTTGTGAGGATTAAATGCAACAATGTCTGAAAGTACTTAGAATGTACTAAGTGCTGATTGTATTGATGGTTATTGTTAGTATCATGTTCCCTCTCCCATAGCCGTACAGAATTACATAATATGTGACCCTGCTCTCCTGGTCACACTGATTTATGGGAACCAATTCAGACGCCTGGCTCAGCCAATCAGAATCCCTCTCCAGGGAGAATTGGCCACTCCAACGTGCAAGCTAAATCTGAAAAATCACGTGATGCGCGAGCAGCTCTGCCACAATGGAACGAGGGAAGCGGCTGGACAGACAATCAGAAGGAATCAGATATACATCAACAAGCAGAGATGGGAAACCATGCAGCTAGACAGGAGAGAGAAGGGCAGAACTGCAGCCCACGTGCCACAGACATTCATGGGCCATCCGTAGCACCCAGCCCTTGGGTTTTCTGAGCAAACCTTCCTTTTAAAAATGCCTTTACAAATTGGCTTATATTGGAAGAATGTCATTCTTAGAACCTTATTCTAAATATCCATGGTCCCCTGGGCTATTTGTTTATTCATAATGGAGCCAAATTGTGTGGATTTGAAATTGGGAGGACAAGAGTGGGAGAGAGCATCCAGCTTTCAGTTCACAGCATGGGATGGATTTGTGGGGAAGGCTTTCTAGAGGAGATAGGTCTTGAGTGAATCTTAAACACGTGATGGCACAGACAGAATGAAGGGTCCCTTTATTGGGAGAGAAAACCCAGCAAGCATAACTCAGGTGTCTGTTAAATTAAATAAGCAAAAGGCCATTGGTCTGAGGCTGTACTTTGAGTTGCTTCGCAGTGAACTACAACCTAACTTAGTATGTATACAAATGAAAATCTCATTAGGAGTATATATTTTTTGTAATAGGATAGCTAGATCTCAGTCAATCACAAGCGGCTGAGCTTCAACCAATCACAGGCAGCCAAGCTTCAGCCAACCAGAGGCAGCCAACTGATCAGACTAAGTCCAAATAAGGTAAATGCCTAACTGTAACCAATTAAGCTATTTCTATACTTTATTTCCTGCTTGAATTTCAAAAAACACGGAGCTCTCTGAATGTCTTCTAGTTTTGAATGCTGCCTAATTCACGAAGCCTTTAATGCTTAAATAAATTTAAAAACATTAGAAGAAAAAAACTTCTTTTGAAAATCATTTTGTGGCCAGGCGCAGTAGCTCACACCTGTAATCCCAGCACTTTGGGAGGCCGAGGCAGGCGGATCATGAGGTCAGGAGATTGAGACCATCCTGGCTAACACGGTGAAACCCTATCTCTACTAAAAATACAAAAATTAACTGGGCGTGGTGGCAGGCGCCTGTAGTCCCAGCTATTCGGGAGGCTGAGTGAGGCAGGAGAATGGCTTGAACCCAGGAGGCGGAGCTTGCAGTGACCCGAGATCCCGCGGCTGCACTCCAGCCTGGGCAACAGAGCAAGACTCCGTCTCAAAAAAAAAAAAAAAAAAAAAAAACAGAAAGAAAGAAAGAAAATCATTTTGTATTTATTTGCTCAAATCCTACAAGTACAGATTGAAAAGTAAGAAAGTACAGGGCAGGTAGACTCACTCCTCCCCAGCTCCCAATCATTTCTCTCTTACTAACAGCTGAATCTCAGTTCCATTAGGAAAAGGGGGGTCTTTGGTCCTCCACAACGCAAGGATGCCAGTCCTCCACTGGTCAGTAGCCCTGACTCACATAACCAGCCTGTGGAGAATTCAGCTGTCTCAATTGGATAGCAACTCCTCCCAGACAGTATTTACACAAGGCGAAGCTCCACACTCATTGTGTGGTATCCACACCATGTGTATGCATGTACGTGTGTGTGTGCATGTGTGCATGTGTATGTGCGTGTGGGTGCATACAACTGCTACTCAGTACCATCCTGAGATATTAGATCACCTTCGTGTATGTATGCACATGTGTGCACTTCTGTGCACACATTGGGGGAAGGGGTTTTATACATTTTGAGTAGACAATATGTAGATGACTCAGGCTGCAGATGCTGGTTGAGAAACTGAACTAAACATCTGGGATTTCAAGCTCACAAATGCTAAAGACATAAGCAAAGCAGTCCCTGAGAGCTGTCCATGAACTAACCTGGGTCATGGTGGAGGGTCCTCAGCTTTCTCCTAGATCAGTCAGCAAACATTCCTGATTTCCTGTGCCTGGTCTGAGCATACAGGCCTGCACTAGATGCTCTCCAGTGAGAGTTGATAGGGGCCAAAAGAAAAATCTCTTCTCTTGCAGACTTTTGATTGATTGATTGATTGATTGATTAAGCAGGGTCCCACTCTGTTGCCCAGGCTAGAGTGCAGTGGCACAATCTCAGCTCACTGCAGCCTCCACCTCCCAGGCTCAAGCAATCCTCCCACCTCGGCCTCCCAAGTAGCTGGAACTATAGGTGCACGCCACCATGGCCAGCTAACTTTTGTATTTTTTTTTTTTTTTTTCAGTAGAGACAGGGTTTTGCTGCATTGACCAGTCTGGTCTTGAATTCCTGGACTCAAGCGATCCACCTGCCTTGGCCTCCAAAAGTGCTAGGATTATAGGTATGAGCCACTGCACCTTGCCCCTTGGGGATTTTATAATTTAAGAGAGGGCAGACAGAGAAGACACACACAAATTCCCTCAAATCTAAGGGGCTAAACACACACTCTAACAATCACCGACAGTTGCGCTTGTTTTTGCCAATGTCACAAAAGGATCCTACTCTGAATCTCCTGCAGATACCGCACAGAGAGCAACAGACCTCGGACGCACCACGAGCAAATTCTAGCGTTCTGCTTGTGTTTTATAGGAACATCAAGGAGCATAAAGAATTCTTCACCAAAATAAAAATGCACGCCTGGCCCCAGGCTTCCAATGTGTGAAAACTGACGTCAGTGCCTTCCCTAGTAGGAAACAGGAGGGTGTGAATGCCTCACGTCCTTGTGAAAGTTAAATAAGCCACCATTTGGTGACAGCCACTAATGAGTCTGCAACAAGGAAGATTAGTCCAAATAAATCATTACAGAGTATGATGCGTCGTGAGCAATGAATCTTCTTGCCGCTCCTGGTAAGGCTAGTTCAACCATCACACCCATCAAGTAAAATGCTAGTGCGTGGGAAAAGGATGATCAGTTAGCGGAGGCAATTGCCAAGCACCTTGTGGGATGTGAGGGTGTGCCAGAGTGACAAGAACCTCGTGAGGTTTCTTGAAATTGGAAAGGTTTGGGCACTTTTGAAGTGGAGTTTGGGAAGGAGGAGTAGAGGGGGGACTATTTCATTTAGGGATGAAATAGTCAATGTCAAACTCAGAAGCAAAACAACATCAGAGACACTGGTTAATAGGTAATATTGGGAACTTATCTTCAATGAGTCCTCAATCCTTACAAAAGCCCCATGAAGTAGAGATTAATCCCCTTTAACGAATGAGTAAATTGAAGAACAGAGAGGCAGAGTAACTGGTCCCAGGTCACACAGCCAGTCTGCAGTGGACTCAGGAGTCGACTCAGCATCTTTGCCTCCAGGAGCCCCTCTTTTAACTAGGGCCTCATGGTTGACTGGGGATGAAGTGGGGGGTGGGGTGGGGGTGGAGAAAAGGCTGAACTGCTCATTGCTTGCCAAAAAAGGTAGTGGGAGCAGTTGCTGCCGTGAGAAGGAGAGTCTGGTGAGCTCTCATTGCCTGTGACCAGAGTGGGGAAAGACTCAGGAGAAATCTCGTATCTATAATCATTCTTACTTGCAGACAAACCTGAAACATTTCATGATAGTAGTATGTGTTAACCCATTAGACCTACTATTTCTAAGCATAAAGTAATTGCAAGCAGAAAATATTTACCCATGCTAAGCCCACAACACAGGCTTATACTTCTTTTGGGAAGGAGAATGAAGATTCTTTGTTGTTAGGAAAAAAAAGTTGCCCATCATTAAAATTTTGTTTTTTAACTTATAATTGAGCATCTAAGAATTCACACAAAGAAAGGACCCACTGCCAGGGCTCAGCCTCTCATCCTTCCCACTCCATCTTTCCTGGAAAAGAACCACAGTGCTACATGAAAGGGTGAGGACGACAATAAAACAGACAGAAAAGTCCCAGGCTCACTTTTCCCACGGAATCACCAGGTGATCTTTTCTGATGCATCCGCTTCCCTGATTTCCTCTTCCCCAAAACAAAGGACATGATTGTGGCCACAAAACATCATAGGATGGAGAAAAGCAGACACGGGTCTTGCGGGCACAAGCCCAGGGGCCATCAGCAAACCCTGCTGCCCAGGTAAGCCCCTGCCCTTCAAGGTCTGGCTTCCTCCCTGCAGAGTGGAAGTCTCTGAAGTCCTCTAGTGAATGGCCCCAAACCATTTTGGATCAGCAACCGCCTTTGAAAGTACGGCGAAAGTTACAATCCAGCAAAAAATACACAGACCATTTTGAAATAATTGTCGGGTCCTTATGGATTCAAGAACGTCAGACTGAGAACATCTTGCTAGATAAATGCCAAGTTAACCTCCGTTTTCATAGCCCACGGGCCCAATCACACCAGCAACACAGAATGTATGTGGTCCCTGAGATGGTGTAACCGGCTAAATCTAATGGGCCCAATGATGGAATTGCAGGCCCCCGATGAATATGGCAATGCTAATTAACAGAACACTAGCCAAGAGAGCTTTAACAACATTCCCATGGTATTATTGGAGATGATTTGGTTGGATTAGCACAAATGGCAAATCGTCATCTGTTAAGTGCAGAAAGCATCAAATCCCTGGAAAAACTCTTTCTAAACCCCTGTTACAAAACAAAATGAAGAGTGGCCAGCAACATATATTCATTAAGTAGTATGTATACACAAACAAAACCAAAGGCCAATCAAAAGCAGAATAGAGGCCGGGTGCGGTGGCTCACGCCTGTAATCACAGCACTTTGGGAGGCCGAGGTGGGCAGATCACAAGGTCAGAAGATCGAGACCATCCTGGCTAACACAGTGAAACCCCGTCTCTACTAAAAAATACAAAAAATTAGCCAGGCGTGGTGGCGGGCACCTGTAGTCCTAGCTACTTGGGAGGCTGAGGCAGGAGAATGGCGTGAACCCGGGAGGCGGAGCTTGCAGTGAGCCAAGATGGCGCCACTGCACTCCAGCCTGGGCGACAAAGCGAGAATCCGTCTCAAAAAAAAAAAAAGCAGAATAGAAGGGGATCAACTTATATTGTCCCTGCCTTCTTGTTTCCCAAAGAATCAGTCTAGTTTCAGGTAACACAAATTATTATTTACATTCTCATATGATGGGAACTTTTGGCTATTTCTAGACTTTTTTTCTTATAAATATCACTGTAAAACCTTTAATGTATATAAACAATCAGAAATTGGACAAAGTTCCCAGAAGTTGAACTGTTGATCAAAGGGCCATGATACAATTCCCTAATAAATTTCCAGGAAGGCTGTGTCACTTACCCATGAACAGAGTTTGCAAGTTCTCATTATGCCGCTTCTTAGCCCTGGTATTTCTCATCTTGAAATAAGTATATTTATTTATGGGGCAAATGACATTTCTCTTAATGGGTATTTCTTTGACTACAAGTGAGGTGGAACATTTTTCAATTTCAGGCATATTTCTTTCCTCTTTTGAAAGATGCCTGCTGCCCAAATGAGGCCTCTTTAAATAACAGTAATATGATTAGCTAATTATTTACAGACACTGGTAATTTTCCTGTGATCCGCTTAGGTTTGTCAATGAGACCTAGCTGGGAGTAGCAGGTATTATTATACATCAGACAGACGTATCCACTTGGCCAAGTTGGAGTTTTAGCCTCAAATTTTAAAATTCCTTTTTGAGATTCCTCAAGACATTATAGGGCTTTAAAAAAAAGTATTACCTGCTTTCCTTATGGAACTATGTAGTATGATCCTGAAAGCTAATTTTCTCAGGCAATTGTCTCTTTCAATATTAAAACTTTTTTTTTTTCTTTTTTGAGATAGATTCTTGCTCTGTCACCCAGGCTGGAATGCAGTGGCGCAATCTCGGTTCACTGTAACACCCGCCTCCCAGGTTCAAGCAGTTCTCCTGCTTCGGCCTCCAGAGTAGCTGGGACTACAGACATGCACCACCCCACCCGGCTAATTTTTGTATTTTTAGTAGAGATGGGGTTTCACCATGTTGGCCAGGCTGGTCTTGAACTCCTGACCTCAGGTGATCCACCTGCCTTGGCCTCCCAAAGTGCTGGGATTACAGGCGTAAGCCACCACATTCTTTTTTAAAAAACTTTCACTTTAGGTTCAGGGCTACATGTGCAGGTTTGTTATACAGGTAAACTCATGTCACGGGGGTTTGTTGTACAAATTATTTTGTCACCTAGGTACTAAGCCTAGTACCCAATAGTTACTTTTTCTGATCCTCTCCCTCCTCCCACCCTCCACCCTCAAGCAGGCTCTAGTGTCTGTTGTTCCCTTCTCTGTGTCCACAAGTTCTCATCATTTAACTTCCACTTGTAAGTGAGAACAACTGGCATTTGGTTTTCTGTTCCTGCATTAGTTTGCTAAGGATAATAGCCTCCAACTCCATCTGTGTTCCCAAAAAAGACATGATCTCATTTTTTTTATGGATGCATAGTATTCCATGGTATATATGTACCATATTTTCTTTATCCAACCTGTCACTGATAGGCATTTAGGTTGATTCCATGTCCTTGCCATTGTGAATAGTGCTGCAATGAACATTGATGTGCATGTGTCTTTATGGTGGAATGCTTTCTATTCCTTTGGGTATAAACCCAGTAATGGGATTGCTGGGTTGAACAGTAGTTCTGTTCTTAGCACTTTGAGGAACTGCCACAGTGCTTTAGTTCAACAACGGTTGAACTAATTTACACTCCCACCAACAATGTATACATTTCCTTTTCTCTGCAACCTCATCAGCATCTGTTATTCTTTGACTTTTTAATAATAGCCATTCTGACTGGTGTGAGATGGTATCTCATTGTGGTTTTGATTTGCATTTCTCTAATGATCAGTGGTGTTGAGATTTTTTTCATATGCTTGTTGGCCACATCTATGTCTTCTTTCGAAAAGTGTTCGTGTCCTCTGCTCACTCTTTAATGGGGTTGTTTCTTTCCTGTAATGTGTTTAAGCTCCTTACAGATGCTGGATATTATATCTGTCAGATGCATAGTTTGCAAAAATTTTCTCCCATTCTGTAGGTTGTCTGTTTACTCTGTTGATAGTTTCTTTTGCTGTGTAGAAGCTCTTAAGTTTAATTAGATCCCATATGTCAATTTTCACTTTTGTTGCAATTGCTTTTGGGATCTTTACCATGAAATCTTTCCCTGTTCCTATGTCCAGAATGGTATTTCCTAGGTTGTCTACCAGGGTTTTTATAGTTTTGGGTTTTAGACTTAAGTCTTGAATCCATCTTGAGTTGATTTTTGTATATGGTGTAAGGAAGGGATCCAGTTTAATTTCTATATATATGGCTAGCCAGTTATCTAAGCACTACTTATTGAATAGGAAGTCCTTTCCCAATTGCTTATTTTTGTCAGCTTTGTCGAAGATCAGATGGTTGTAGATGTTCAGCCTTATATATGGGTTTTCTATTCTGTTCCATTAGTCTATGTGTCTGTTTTTATACCAGTACCATGCTGTTTTGGTTACTGTAGTCCTATGGTATAGTTTGAAGTTCGGAAATGTGATGCCTTCAGCTTTGTTCTTTTTGCTTAGGATTGTTTTGGCTATTTGGCCTCCTTTTTGGTTTCACATGAATTTTAAAATAGTTTTTTCTAGTCTGTGAAGAATGTCATTGGTAGTTTGATAGGAATAGCATTGAATCTGTAAATTGCTTTGTGGCAGTATAGGCATTTTAATACTATCGATTCTTCCTATCTCCATAAGCATAGAATGTTTTTCCATTTGTTTGTATCATCTCTGATTTCTTTGAGCAGTGTTTTGTAATTCTCCTTGTAGAGATCCTTCACCTCCCTGGTTAGCTGTATTCCTAGGTATTGTATTCTTCTGGGGTCAATTGTGAATGGTATTGCGTTCCTGGTTTGGTTCTCAGCTTGGCTATTGTTGGCATATAGAAATACTAGTGATTTTTGTACAGTGATTTTGTATACTGACACTTTGTGTATTCTGACACTTTGCCTAAGTTGTTTATCAGCTAAAGAAGCTTTTAGGCCAAGACTATACAGTTTTCTAGATATAGAATCATGCCATATGCAAACAGGAATAGTTTGATTTCCTGTCTTCCTATTTGGATGCCCTGTATTTCTTTCTCTTGACTGATTGCTTAGGCCAGGACTTCCATTACTATGTTGAATAGGAGTGGTGACAGAGGGCAGCCTTGTCTTGCTCTGGTTTCCAAGGGAATTGCTTCCACCTTTTCCCCATTCAGCATGACAAGCATCACTCTTTTCAAAAGAAGAGGATGTACAAGAGCTTCTCTAATCTTCTTTCCCTCATAGCTTGGGAATTCTTGTAAACAACACAGGAGTTTTGTAATCAGTGCACACAAATACAAAGCACCTATTGTGGACAGGCTCCTTGCTAGGGTTGCCAGATTTAGCAAGTAAAGACAGGATGCCCAGTTATGTTTAAATTTCAGATAAAACCAAGATTGTTTTAGTGTAAGTATATCCCACATATTGCATGGGATCTACTTATGCAACAAGGTGTTCATTGTTTATTTGAAGTTCAAATGTAGCAAGGTAACCTGTATTTGAACTGACAACTCTACTTGAGCCCCTGAGGGGCTCAAGGGGCACTTCTCCTCTTGGAGCTGCAGATCCCGCTTGGGAACCCAGGCAGGGACAAGGGAGACCAGGACTTCCTGCTCCACAGACCCAATTTAGGGACCAAGTTCTATGGAGTTGAGCAAGCTGACTGCACTCTACCCTGAGAGCAGCCACATATTCATCTCCATGTAAAATCTATGCAGGATGTGCTACATGGGCCACGTGTAGCCCAGGGCAGGAGAAGATTCCACTGGAGACCAAGAAAACTTCATAGAAAGATAACTAAAATATTTATTATGGGCCAAGGCTGGCGGATCACAAGGTCAGGAGATCGAGACCATCCTGGCTAACACGGTGAAACCCTGTCTCTACTAAAGCTACAAAAACTTAGCCAGGCATGGTGGCACACGCCTATAGTCCCAGCTTCTTGGGAGGCTGAGGCAGGAGAATTGCCTGAACCCAGGAGGCAGAGGTTGCAGTGAGCTGAGATCATGCCACTGCACTCCAGCCTGGGTGACAGAGCGAGACTCCCTCTCAAAAAAATAAAAATAAAAATAAATATGTATATATTATGTTTAGTTCCTAACCTTTAAGCAGAGAAGCATCTGAAGTTTAGGTGATGTGATCATGAACTTATTTATATACTTTTTAACTATAATAGATATTTCCATTTATCACGCTGATAATCACAAGCCACGTGATTATCAGAAGGTCAAACACTGCCTGTGTAAGGAGGCTGATTCAATTGTAGTCAGTACATGTTTTCCCAGGCACAGAAAGTCATCTATGTCTTACCTCTGATGCTTATGAATAAGCAATTGCTTAGTGACAACACAGATACAAATAGATCTGCATAACTATAACTAGTGAAAATTAAATGCACACCAGAAAAGAAACTGGGTTCACTGTTTGCTAAAGATTTCTCATCCATTAAGCAGACCACCCACTTCAACGTTCCTTGTTCCAAGTATCTAAGTAAGATAATTTCTACTCTCAGGTGACAGAGCCAAAATGTCTAATAATATTAAAAGTCCACCTACCAGGTGAGCTCTTCTACTTCATAAAGGCACAAACAACCATTTCATGAGCATGAGCTCACTCCCAATGAATTAATTTTGGTCTAAAAACAAATCCCACATGGGCTCCAGAGTCACCTCTCCACTCCTTCTCAGCTCACCCTGAACATGCATGGTCAATGCAAATGCCCCGTGGGAGGGAGGCCATCATAGCTTCCGCAGGGTCCACCAGCAAAGGACATTTGCTTAAAAAAAAAAAAAAAACAAAAAACGTCCCAGCACAATTACTGGAGAAAGCGTATTTTGGAGAACATCAATACTTACAAGAGCTTTGCAGTGGACTCCCAACCTCCCCATGGTCAACTTACATGGTTGTCAATTACCAGGTCAAGGAGGAGGTGGACAAGAGAATAGTACCTACTTCAGGGCTCCTGTTCAACTGATAACATTAACTTAATTGTCATGTGGCTCACTTTGCCCTTGAGGTACTGCTGCTCTGTCATCTCTAGTTCTAAGAATAAGGGTGAACAGCTTTGACTGCTGCATCTCCAAGTGTTGGGTGAAGACCACCTGGTGCAGTGTTACAGTGGGAGCTCCCAAAACACCGACTCCTGGACCCACCCTGGAGCTACTAGAGTCTTTTGGAGACAGACTCAGGAATCTGCATTGTTCAAGCCATATCCCTCCCAATCCACACTCATCCCATGATGATTCTGATACAAACTAAGTTTTGAACATCAACGTTTTAGACTGCCCAACTACAAGTTAGTCCAGGTACCTCCTCTGAACCTAAACAGACTTCAGTCCAACTATTACTGTCCCATTAGGTGTCTCAGGGTAATGAACAGGGATATACTTGATTCTTAGTTATATTATTTATATCTGGACACCGAAGGATACATGTGCTTCTGTTTCAAAGACACAGAGGGGACAGCAAAGGAATTTAAGACTAGAAGGTGGGAACGAATTGAATTGCCCTGACAGAAACCATTTTCTTATATCAAATAAAAATCTTCTCTCCCTCTTTTTTTTTAAAAAAAAAAAGAGAATATGGGCTATCACAATTCGGACAGACAAGCAAATGCAACCACAGCAGATGAGGTGACAGAAAAATAAATTCCCCCAAACCAAGGAATTCTTGCATCTTCCCTGAGGCTATGTCTCAAACACATCTCTCGAGTTATACAATTTCCCACTTCCTCTCTTGTCCTAGGAGTTGGTCGCCAGAAATCAAAACATGACAATATTCACGAAAACTGTTAGTTGTTACAATCGAGACAGTATACACATTGCCAGTATTTGCAAATAGTATTCTATTCTGTAAACTACACCAAAAACGAGAATCTTTCGTCAAAGGTCACATAAGTGAAGGGAAAATGCGGAACTAAAATGGCTTAAATCGCACTAACATTTCATAGACATTTCTTGATGTCTGGGTTTTCTGGCTTTTCAGGATGTAAAAAACTGATGCCAAACAAAGGATCATCACTGGAGAGGACGACGGAAAAAGAAAAAGACGAGCACATGCCTGGAAATGTAGGTTTTGCTGCTTGTCTTTGTTACAAGAAGGCCAGGAAAGCTGAGGTTTTACCTGGGCAAGTTTACCAGCTACTCATCCATTAGAAGGGTCCTGAGGGACTCAAGGGGCGCTTCCCCTCTTGAAGCTGCAGATTCCATTTGGGAACCCAGGCAGGGACAAGGAAGACCAGGGCTTCTTGTTCCACAGACAAAATGCCACGACAACAGCCTTGGGGCAGCACCTCTGTCCCCGGTGCTGGACATCAAATGCCTCAGCTTAGGTTATTGACACAATGCTGGCCCCCTGCTGGCAGCCCCATCTATTAAGTCCATCTGACTGGCCAAGCCAAGGTCACCTGTGGCTGGGAGAGGACCCAAGAAAGGGAAGGTCTGAAGTCTGAAATCCAACTTTGGTGGGTTTTTTTGGTGGTTTTTTTTTTTTTTTTTTTTTGAGACAGAGTCTCACTATGTTACCCAGGCTGGCGTGCAATCATCTTGGCTCACAGCAACCTCTGCCTCCAGAGTTCAAACGATTCTCCTGCCTTAGCCTCCTGAGTAGTTGGGATTACAGGTGCACACCACCACGCCTGGCTAATTTTTGTATTTTTAGTAGAGACAGGGTTTCGTCATGTTGGCCAGGCTGGTCTCGAACTCCTGACCTCCGGTGATCCACCCGCCTTGGCCTCCTAAAGTGCTGGGATTACAGGTGTGAGCCACCACACCCAGCCTGAAATCCAACTTCTATCCTGAAAGGCAGGTCTGCCTTCCACCAAGACCCACAAGGTGGGGAGAAGAAGAGATTCCCCAACATAGCCAAGGGATGTGGGTGCTAAGCAGCCAGAGGAGGAAAAGGGGAGGGAGAAGGAAGGAAGGAGCAGGGGAAAAGCCACCCTTGGGAAGCCTTATTCATGTATTTCGCCATTTACGCCTTCAGTATTCTAGACTCCATCAAATTTACCCCAGCTCTTCCACTCCCTTTAGAAAGACACAGATGAATGGAATCCACTGCATGGAATCCACTGCATAGAATCCATGGGCCAATTCTATCTCCAGTTTTCTGCGTGAAACCCTAGCAATGGTTGCAACCCCTAAAGGTCTTAGCTGCTTCCATCCGTAAAGGAGCCAAATTAGATAGACTTCAGGGCCACTTCTAGCGTAAACACTCCCCCTTTCCAGGGCAGCAATAGCCTCTGACTCAGCCCACCTAAATGATCACTCATCCCCTGTGAGTTGGAGAGAACAGGTATTTCCAGTGCCAGTGCTTCTAGAATTCTGCTCTAACCCAAGAAATTCCCCAAGATGAGCTTCAAGGACAGCACATTCCAACTGCTCATAAAATAAGAATGTCCACTAAATGAGGAGCAAATGCATTTGCCCAGAGGAAGTGGTGTCTCATTGTGCCCTAAAATTTTTTTAAAAGATTTTCTCTTAAGATTTATTAAAATATTTTGTTAATACAGAAATTCCCATACATTAGAGAAAATTTAGAAAATAAGCACGATAAAGGACTAAAAATCATTCATCACCCAGAGGCGACAGCCTTTAAAAAATTCTTAATCTTGGCCAGGTCCTTTATCGTGCTTCCACCTGGCCAAGATTAAGAATTTTTTAAAGGCTGTCGCCTCTGGGTGATGAATGATTTTTAGTCCTTTATCGTGCTTATTTTGGGAGGCCAAAGCGGGCGATCACCTTGGAGGTCAGGAGTTCGACACCAGCCTGACCAACATGGAGAAACCCCGTCTCTACTAAAAATACAAAAGTAGCCGGGCGTGGTGGCGGGCGCCTGCAATCCCAGCTACTTGGGAGGCTGAGGCAGGAGAATCACTTGAACCTGGGAGGCGGAGGTTGCAGTGAGCTCAGATCACGCCATTGCACTCCAGCCTGGGCAACAACAGCAAAACTCTGTCTCAAAAAAAAAAAAACCCTTAATATTTTTATATTTATACTGGATATGCCCACATAGAGATGAACACATATACATCCACACACATACACATTTTTTCAGCTGAATTTTGAAGCATAATTTTCCATAGCATTAAAACATGAACATATTGCATATCATTAAATATTCTCCTCTATCAGTGGTTCTCAACCACATTTCCTTTAGCTATTAGAGGTCAAGATGGGCAAAGCGCAGAATTTCCAGTAGCCAAACAGAGAACTAAGAATATGTACTCAAGGTTTGTTTTTGTTTGTTTGTTTGTTTTTCTGTTAGAAAAAAAGATGTGGCTGGGCACGGTGGCTCACGCCTGTAATCCCAGCACTTTGGGAGGCCAAGGCGGGTGGACCACTAGCGGTCAGGGTTCAAGACTAGCCTGGCCAACGTGGCAAAACTCCCCCTCTACCAAAAATGCAAAAATTAGCCAGGTGTGGTGACGCATGCCTGTAATCCCAGCTACTTGGAAGGCTGAGGCAGGAGAATCCCTTGAACCTGGGAGGTGGAGATTGCAGTGAGCCGAGACTGCGCCACTATACCCCAGCCTCGGCAACAGATTGAGACTCCGTCTCAAAAAAAGAAAAAAAAAAAGGTGTGTTCGTTGCTCAAATTACTTCAAAGTCAGGCACATCCAGTTATCTTCCAGGCCTCTAGAAAGCTTTGGTGCTTAGGATAATAAAAGTGAGCTGGACAGGAATTATAAATCACCACTTAAAAAATTGGCGGAATGTTAGTTGAACTTCAAAGGGCCAATGCATCCTACTCTGAGACATCTGTGGTATAAATGTTATCTTCATGAGTGGTCTCTGATTATTTCTTCAAGCTCAGCTTAAATAATATAGCAGAAAGAACATGTGTATGAAGTGGGAAGCTATATTTTGGCAGCCTGATTTTCCATTGTATTTCCCATTTTCAAGTACATCATTTATCTGTCATCTGCTTCTGGGCCCACCACCTCTCATGTCCATAAACTGCATGAAGAAGTACCTGGGCCTGCATTGCTCACAACCACAGCTACAGTATCTAGCACAGTGCCTGGCACATAGTAGGTACTCAGATATTGTAATTCATTGGAAATGTATTAGGAAAGCCAACGGATGTTCTTTCCTGAAAAAAATGTCCACGCACACCTACACAGAACATTTTGCACATCTTTTAAAGAGTTGATAAACTTTTTTAAGGCTAAGAACCTCACTCCACAATATCCCATCTTATTGATAGACCAATATTGATTTATCCAAAGGCCTATTTTACAAACATAGAGATCAAGGGCTGGCAAACTCTCTTGGTAAGGGTCCAGATAGAAAATATGTTAGATTTTGTGGGTCGGCTTTGTTGCAACTACTCAACTCTGCCAGTGTCACCCAAAGGCAGCTGCAAACAATGGGTCAATGAGCTGGTGTGTCTGTATTCCAATAAAACTTTATTTATTAACACAAAATCAGGCAGCAAGCCAGATGTGGTCTGCAAATTATACTTTGCTGATCCCGGATATAGACTAATAAAAGCAGGACTTTCAAGATGCTTTAAGACTCAGATCTTTTGGTGATCAATGATCCACAGAGAATTTATCTAGAGCCTTTCTGTTTCCCGAAGAACTGAATTGCCTAGGCCCACCCAAGGACCAGCCTTCCACAAGGAGGATCAGAGACAATCCTTGTCTGGAGGAGAGAGTGAAGGTCATTACGAAATATACTGTGTCACAGACAACCTGCAGTGGACAGATGCACCTGTATTCTTTAAAGGAGAAAATAATCCCTGTGTTAGTGTTACCTACAAGCCTAGGAAAGTGAAGCCATATCAAGGCTCTGAGGATCATTCACAGATTGGGTGGGGCTCATTTGTAATCAGCATGAGCTCTTAAGGAGTAATTAGCAAATCGTTGAGATGCACATAATTTACACATTATGTAAATGCAGCTAAATGATTTTCTCGAAAAGTTTGTTTTCTTAATCAGCTAATTATTTCACCAACAATATTTTCATACTATTAATCCACTCAAGAAACAACTCAGCGCAAAGGTAAACTTACCACAGTTAAGGAAAAAAAAAAACAAACTACAAGAATGAGGTCCCAACTAAAGAAGAATGACAATTCTCTGAAACTGGGTTTTCTCCATGAAAAAGAACACAAGTCAGCCGGGCGCGGTGGCTCACGCCTGTAATCCCAGCACTTTGGGAGGCTGAGGCAGGCGGATCATGAGGTTAGGAGGTCAAGACCATCCTGGCTAACACAATGAAACCCCGTCTCTACTAAAAATATAAAAAATTAGCTGGGCGTGGTGGCGCACGCCTGTAGTCCCAGCTGCTTGGGAGGCTGAGGCAGGAGAATGGCATGAACCTGGGAGGTGGAGCTTGCAGTGAGCAGAGATCGCACCACTGCACTCCAGCCTGGGCGACAGAGTGAGACTCCATCAAGAAAGAAAAGAGACTAGACGAGGAGAGGGGAGGGGAGGGGAGGGGAGGGGAGGAAGGAAAGAAAGAAAAGAAAGAGAACACAAATCAAATGGGATCGTGGCAAACTTTTGCCAAGGTTTGAGTTGAAGGTGGGTAGTGGAGCATGGAAAGAAAAACCCACAGGCAGCACTATGACAGAGTAGTCCTGCACAACGATGGGTGCCCTTGGCAGATCATGTTTGCTTCCTGCTAGTTTGCTAGTCTCGCCACCATCTTCCCATTCACAGGATCAGCAAAAGTGATTCAGACATGGGATCCACCATTTCCCTCACCAGGAGTACCAGGGTAGAAAGCCACAATTGCTGTGAGTCCCAGAAGTTTCCCCTTACTCATCTCTTCTGAATGTTCATTCTGTGTGTGTATGTGTGCGAGACAGAATATACACATGTATGTGCCCACATGCAGATTAAAAGTTGGGCACAGTTTATGAGTCTGTCATTTCCTCCAGTTCCTCTCCTGGGGATTGTCAATCAAATCAAAGGATGGTAGGTGCAGGCAGGTGGGGGCACAGGTGGGGACAACCTAAGTTGCTGGCATGCTGGACAAAGGCAACCAGTCCTCCCAGCAGGCACAGCTCAGGGAGACAAGCGAAAAACCCGTACCAGGCTTGGTGCACGTTCCTCTTTTCTTACTTCTTCAGGATTCTCTCTTTTCCTTTTTCTCTGAGGTATTGACAAGGAGGACTATCGGTGTCATTGCAAAGAAAGCAGGAACAATGATTCTGGGGGACTGAGAACCTGGGCCAACTGCATTCACTCACTGTAAAGCAACTGTTTTTCTGCCCATACATGTTCATGCATCAGGGCGACCATTTCCTGGTTATGCATCTTTGGGGATGCTCATTGATACCCTCTGCGCCTCAGTTTATGCACTTGCCAAACGAGGGTAATAGTATTACCCACTCTACAGGATTGTTGTGGAGAGTGGATGAGAGTAGGTATAGGACCCATCTAGCACATAACACGTACAACACAAACCACATTCTCTAGTTTCTGCCACGAACTAGTATTGCACTTATAAAAATATAAAAGAAAGAGTAATGTCATCTAGTACACCTAATCCATTTTAACTTAAATCCAAAAGGGCAAGAGGCCCATGGTGGAGGAGAAAAAAATTAGATTATGATAAGATTTGGTGCAGAATTTTCAAATACCATCAAATGCCAATTCTCCATGTCAGCAGAGTGAAAGCATGCCTTGGCTATAATAGCAACACTTTTTAAAATTCCATGTTCACGCTGACATTTTCAACCTTCAGAAAGGATCACCCACTGCTAAAGATAATAGAGATTTTCCATCAATAAAAGGAGGGGACTGCTGCCCTTCAAGATAGTCTACACTGCTTTGGAATATGAAGTCACTTTGTGTTTTTTATTTTTAAATAGTGGATGCACTCCTCTCATGTCGTTTACTTAGGCTAACACTGACACAAGTTTGCACTTCCTAAAAAATGTTGCAGCCAGGAAGATGGGAATAAAGTAGGTCGCTAGCATCCTTAAAGCATGCTGGCTGGCTGGTTATCCAGAGTAGACTATGCTTGATAGACAGATTGACAGACAGACAGATGGATAAGATATATACACACAGATACATGGGTAAATACATGCACCATCTATATACAACACATTATATATATATATTGGATATATATAGGATATATATATACACACATTGGAGATTATATATATATATATATATATATATCCAATGCTATTTCATTAAGCCATTATATTTCTATTTTCAGGCTGATTTTTGTTCAAAAATTGTATATATATATGACTTTTAGAAATTCACTTGAGACATTGAAACTTAATGAAATAGCATGAGACAGCTAATTGCCAGGAAGAACAAGCACCACTCTGTGGTCCATGGATTTGTCCATATGAAATGAATGATAATAAAGGAAATGGTCAGGAGGAAAACTGGTTCCTGAAAAAAACAAAAACCAAAACCATGAATCAACCCATTCAAATGCAGCTCCTAGCAAGGGAAATACATCTCTTTCTCTGCCATTTTTTTGTTGAGTCAGGGGCCATTGCCTTTTCAAAAGATGGCTGTCTTCTTTTAATGAATCCAATTAGTGCTATGCCAAGATGCCCAAGAGACTTAAGGTTCCACACAGACTCCCAGTGCAGGGAGGCTAAATTCTTGAAGCCTCTGCTTTCTGAGATGGAAGTGTTGGGTCAGAAGGGAGGCTGACAGACAAAGGCTGACCTGAGGTTGCGTGGAGCTAACAGAGCCAAGAAAAACGTTGGTTCTGAGACAGGAGGAAAAAAATAAATCAGAAATCAAACAGCATGGGACTTAGTGAAATCAATATGAGGACAAAGGAGGCTGCCCTGATGTTCAAGAATGGACCCTGCTTGGTGAACCCTAAGAATTAATGGAGCAGAGCAGAAACGTTTGCCAGGCTGGGAGCATCCTTTCCCATCCTGTTCCTACTTAGACAAGGACCACAGGGACACACAAAGAATGGCTTAGTTCCTAATGGAAAACAAATGCCATTCAGCAAAGGTTTTGAGAAGGAGCAAGGTGGCTGCTGAGAGCTTTGTTTTCTTTCCATTTCAGCTACGGGCAGACATGTCTTGCTGAAAAATGAAGGTTTGAGAAATACAGATTGTCCTAGTGTTCAGATGAGTACTGCCCACTAAGGTTAAAAAAAAAGGACCACAGGGCTGGAAGATGAAGAGGCAATTATCCTCAATTCAACCCTGTGGCTCCTATTACACAAAGAAAGGTGGGAAGCTGAGGCCACATGTGCATGCGGGAGCAGACTGTGAGTAGCTGTATGGTAGAAGACTGGAACTGAGCCCAGCCCAAGTTAACGATATTTTACAGTGGTTCTTGAGCTTGAGCATGCAAAAACAAAACACAAAACAAACGACAAGAAAACCCCACAAAAGCACTTGGGGAGCTTGAGCAAAGTGCAGATTCTTGGACTCCACAGTAGACCCAGGCAGGGCTTGGGAGTCTGCAGGTCTGACTGCTACTCCAGGTAACTTAATTCAGAGGAGGAAGATAGATCTAGGGGAAAACACAAAGGAAACCCATTAAAAATAAACTCCTAAGCTGGGCTCCCAAGAGCCCGGACCTCTTGCTAACTGTTTAGTGGGGATCTTCACTTGGGCATTATACTCTCATTTTACACACCTTGCCCCAAACGAAGCAAATTACCTTTTGCCAAGAACATGTTCCTCTTCTTGGAATCTCTTTTAGGATGACAGATTCCATAATCTCCCCCATTTACCAAGCCAGGAGCAACACAAGAGCAAGTGTCAGCATATGCAACTCACTCTGACAAACTCTGTTCTCGGAGGACCCAAGGGAAACCCAAGGAGGGACTCAGACCCTAGACACTGGGAGAGTGAGTGTGGAATAACCTGTGATGGTTCTACTCATAAGGCTCCCAAATCCAGTCCAAAGTATGTGAGCAGGAACCCAATATCCCACCCAGACACAGCCGCCTGTCACGTTTTCTTGAAGTTTAATATTAGAGTCTACCCCATAAACCACCTCAAGTGGCAAGTTCTGACCTCCTCACTGACATCTGTCCCTTATTTTGCCACTGCAGACCAGAGTCTGCAGACAGTCAGGTCCTGGCTCAGTAAGCCTTGTAGAATCGCCCATGCCAGAGGCAGGTGGTAGGGGTGGGCTACAGATTGCAGCGTGCCTGCTGCCATGGCAACGCACGAGCAACCAGGGATGGGAAAGAAGGTGCTTTACTTAATTGAAATCCAGGCAATGTCTTAATACGAAGCTCAAGGAAGTTAATGCTCAATTAGATTTTCTCCTGCCTCCTTTTTCCCCTTTCCATTCACGTCACCAAATGACTTTAACCATCCCTCTCTGCCACCAAAACAGAAAAACAGGGGAAAACCCATAAAACATCTCTAAAGTTGAGTCACTGTATAAACCACTGAGACTGAACCCTCTCCTCTCACCATACTCAAGCAAAAAGCAACCCAAGACGCCTAGGTTCTCTCTGTTCACTGCCAATCCATCTCAAAAGAAATTGTTTGCCCAAAGGATTCTTAAGACTGCATTGGCTTTGCCATCACCACCTCACCGGGGCCACCTTTTCTCACACTATGACTACGAATTACCTGGAGATTTAAAATGCATATTCCTTGCCTATGCATATATGGACAAAATGCATAAAATGCAGATTTCCTGGCCTCATCCACCAGATAGTTGGTTTAGGCAAATCAGAGACAGAATATAAGCATCGGCTTTTTTTTTTTTTTTCCTAGCAACCCGGGGAATTCTGATCTTGTCTAGAGCCAGATCCACCCTGTGAGAAATGCAGACCAACCGATTTGGGCTTTACCTGCAGATCTGTCCTTCATAGGACAGGCTGAGCCCAGCTAAAGGTGGACATCTAATGGCCTCACCAAATAAGCCATGGGCTGTGAAAGGGTTAACCGGGGTCCCCTGTTACTGCAGTCGTGAGTCCCCTAACATAACGATTCTGAACACCATAGATACACATGGAAAACGTGTCTTGGGGTCGATCCTAGCCACTATTTCTCCATTCTGCAAGGTGGAACAGGAAAATAAACATGCTCGTAATCCAAAAATATTCACTGATGAACTCACCACTTATAAAATTAGTCCTCCCACTAAAAAATTCCCTCCCTGCCTAAGAGCCCAACAGAAGTCCTAACCCGCTGCTCCCTGTCAGTCTGGGTGATTGTGAACATTTGTTTGTATTTTCATCTTATTGTGGAATTTGTGGAAATGTCAAGTTATAAGTCTTGAGAAAGATACAAGAAGCTCCAGGACATGATGCAGAAGAAAGGCTGTTCCCTGGCCGAGCCCAGAACACGAAGGACCCAGCTAGGGAGTAAAGATGAAAGCATGGCTGTTTTGCAAATTTAAATTTTGACTAGCCATCTATCTGATTCCAGCAAGATGAAGGATAAAGATAAACCAAAATCTCCCTCTACAAACACCTAGAAATGATGGGTGAGATGAACAGCAACAACAAAAAAATGTTTTAAATGCAGGTACAAGTTTGCAACAAAGGAAGGAAATCATTAATGATGAGAAACTAGAAACCGGAGCCTTAAACACCAAAACCAGTTCAGAGGTTGCCTTGGGGTGAATATGGGTCCCAGGAACAGGGGCCTGGGTGTTACTGTCCACATGGAGGTAAAGGGGAGGCCCTGGAACACACACACCAGGGGCTGAAATTTTACAAATGCAAGATTCATGGAATTCTGCCCCTATGCAGACAGGTGAAATAGGGGGAAAAAATTATGCACCAACAGAGAGAGACAAAAAGGATGCTCATATGTTTCTATGTGGTCTCTGAAGAAAAAAACTGCTCGAAAAAAAAACAACTTTGGGCCTACACCTTGCAAAGGTCAGGGTATGAGTTTCTACTTTCTACATTGGCTAGAAAAACCCCACCATAAACATCAACATAAAAGCTGGTTCCAGGGTAACGAGGCTCTCAAAGGATGTTACAGAAACAAATGCAAACCTACTCTAAAAAAAAATACGCTCCCATGATCCAGGACGCTGAAGACCCTCAAGGAAAAATGCAGCCACCAGAGAAGGACTGACGTTAAAAAGCTGAAAGGTCTAAGAGAAATCAGCACTCCATGCATGAGAGTCAGCAGGCACCACCGACAGAGAGAAGCAGAACCTTTGTGTAATAGCTCTTTTTTAAAACAATATAAAACAGCCTAACCTTATTCAAGACCTAAAAGAAGAAATTAAAACCAAAATAACCACATACAACCAAGAAAAAACAGACGAACCCACTCGAACAACTACAAAATAAAATCCACAGTCATTTCTATTGAAAACTCAACAGACAAATTAGATAGTCGGATATTGGCTCAATGACTAACCAATGAGCTGGAGGATAAATCTAAATCAGAGAGAGGAAGAGATGGACAATATCAAGAACAGTTTAAAGCAGGGGTCCCCAATACCTGGGTCATGAACCAGTATCCGTCCATGGCCTGTTAGGAACCAGGCTGCACAGCAGGGGGTGAGCGGCAGGCAAGCAGTTGAAGCTTCATCTGTATTGACAGCCGCTCCCCATCGTTCACGTTACCACCTAAGCTCCACCTCCCGTCAGATCACCAGTGGCATCAGATTCCCACAGGACCACGAACCATATTGTGAACTGCATATGTGAGGGATCTAGGTTGCATGCTCCTTATGAGAATCTAATGCCTGATGATCTGTCACTGCCTCCCATTACCCCCAGATGGGACCATTTAGTTGCAGGAAAACAAGCTCGGGGCTCCCACTGATTCTAGGTTAGGTGAGTTGTATAATTATTTCATTATCTATTACAATGCAATAATAGAAATAAAGTACACAATAAATGTAATGTGTGTGAATCATCCCAGAACCATCCCCCACAACCCCCAGGTCTTTGAAAAAATTGTTTTCCACGAGACAAGTGTTCACTTTAAAGTAGTATACCAAATCTTAAGATAAATAATACATAGACACACATACAAACACACACACAATCACATCATACTGAAACTGAAAACCACTAAAGACAAATGAAAAAAAATGTATACACAACCAGAGAGAAAGACAAAAACTTGAAATGAAGCTGCTGCTGTGTGCATTTTTATAATGCTTACAGAGAATGCAATGCAAAGCACAAATCTTCAGATGGATGAATGCCAACTAATTAGAATAATAAGTGCCAAAGGAAATGGACATTTCTATTAACCTACACATTTAAATGCAATTTGATTTTTCTTTCAAAAGTCAGAGCTAAATACTTTATTTAGCTAACTAACTAAAGCCCCTCACAGATCCTAAAATCCCCCATAGATTCTAAGTGAAGAGATATTATAAGAGAAATCAAAGGCAATCAATTTCACACAAGAAGCAATGGTGAGCAAAGATATTAGCAAAAATGTTGGAAAATGGAAGCAACCATTGATTGTAAAATACAAACGAACAAAAACAATAACAATACTAGCAACTCATTTGGGAGGTATCAAACAAAGGGAGATACTAAAATACTGGAAAAGTAGTAACATTAAAGCATTCTAAGGTCCTCTGATTGGTAGGGAGGAGGGGAGAGATGCAGATTAATTTTAAACACCGTTATTAGGTCAACTAGGCAAGTTTAAAGAAAGTAAAAGGAAGCCAGGAGTGGTGGCTCACACCTGTAATCCCAGCACTTTAGGAGGCCAAGGCAGGCAGCTCACTTGGGGTCAGGAGTTCGAGGCCAGCCTGGACAACATGGTGAAACCCCGTCTCTAATAAAAATACAAAAATCAGCCGAGCATGGTGGCATGCACCTGTAATCCCAGCTACTCGGGAGGCTGAGGCAGGAGAATTGCTTGAACCCAGGAGGCGGAGGTTGCGGTGAGCTGAGATCGCGCCACTGTACTCCAGCCTGGGCGACTGCGTGAGCCTCCATCTCAATAAACAAACAAACAAATAAAGGAAAGGGAGACACAGACAAGATACTGAATTGAAAACTTCCAAATTAATAAAGCGTAAGGGGGATCAAAAGAGGAAAATAAAAATCAATCAATCCACTGAAGTACTAAAAAAGGAAAAAGAAAATGCATGGTAAATAAAATACGAGGAAGGAGTATAAATCTTGAGCCAGGCCATACCCACACACAAGAAAGGGCTGTTCCTCAAGACAGCCCCTGGTGTGTTGAATGAAGTGCGCGCGCACACACACACACACACACACACACACGCACACACACCTATGCACAAACACACTAGACCCAGATGGTATTAATAGTGTTAAAAAAATTAATTGAAACACTATTAGGCTGAGATGACCCTAGTGCCTTGGGATCCTACATAAGCAAACCAAAACCCAACTCACTGTAAATGGTAAAACAAAATTGAAGCTTAGCCAATCAGAAACTGCCAACTAACCTCTAACTAGGGATTTTCCACTTTAACCAATCAGATATTTTCTTAGTCTTGCTTCCTGGAACACCTTATAGAAGTTTTCCTACTCACACACCCTGGGCAAAGCCCTGATCACTTGTGGTTTAATACTGGCCAATTCATGAATCGTTCGCTGCTCAAATAAACTCTTGAAAGTTTTTATGTGCCTAAATTTAACTTTTAACATTGGTAAAGACCGTCTTGTTATAGAGGAACAAATAATCCCCATCCCATGCTAACTATTCCAGAGAATAAATAGAAAAATGAGGAGAGAAAGAAAAATAAGTAAAACTCCCCAACTCTGCATGATCTGGATGAGGTTGGTATAACTTTAACCTTAATATTCAGAGGGAAAAAATAATAAAAGCAACAATATTCAAACCAGAGGAATGTAACATAAGAAATAAGTTTTAGGCCATGCTAACTTAAGAACATAGATGCCAACTGCTAGAAATAAAAAGGATAATAGCATCTATCAAAAATGTGTCTACGGAAAATCTTCAGTAAGGCTGGGCACAGAGGCTCACACCTATAATCCTGGTACTTTGAGAGGCTAAGTCAGGAGGATGGCTTGAGACCAGTAGTTCAAGACCAGCCTCGGCAATATAGTGAGCCCCTGTCTCTACAAAAAAAAAAAAAAAAAAAAAAAAAAAGAAAGAAAAAATTAGCCAGGTGGGGTGGCACATGCCACAGGCCCAGCTACTTGGGAGGCTGAGGTGGGAGGATAGTTTGAGCCCAGAAGGCAAGGCTGCAGTGAGCCATGATCCCACCACTGCACTCCAACCTGGGTGACAGAATGAAACCCTGTCTCAAAAACAAAAAAAAAATCTTCAGTAAGTATTATATGAATGGTAAAAATGTAGAAATGTTCGCTTTAGAGTTCCACGGATAGACAGAACTCTAAAGATGGCACCCAACATTTGCCTCTCTCCCTGCCTAGAGTACACACTTTGCATAATCCCCATGGATAGGATGAATTTCACTGCTGCGAAACTCAGCTCAGCTGACTTTAAGACAGGGAGGTTAGCCAGGTAGGCCTGACCTAATCCCATGAGATCTTTAAAAGAGAGAGCTTTCTCCAGCTGATCTCTGAAAGGAAGTCAGAGGTTCTTCTGGGAATAAGGCTCAGGCATGAGCCTTTGAAATGGACATCCCCAAATAAACGAGCCCCCCATGTTGTCCTTCCCAAGTGGCACCAGTGAAAGTAACAAGAAGCCCAGAGAACATCTGCTGACTGAGGAGGCCCCAGCTTTTGACAAGGTGTCCATCTGGAAGCATCTGGGACAGAGTCAGCTTCTCAAACCTTGTGCATGTTAAATACGGAAGCATGGTCTCCTTCCCCAGAGAATCTGGTACTACGAATAAGTGGGAAATGCATTTTTATTGATTGATGGATTTTTATTTATTTTTGAGATGGAGTTTCGCTCTTGTTGCCTAGGCTGGAGTGCCATGGTGTGGTCTTGGCTCACTGCAACCTCTGCCTCCCGGGTTCAAGCAATTCTCCTGTCTCAGCCTCCCAAGTAGCTGGGACTACAGGCACCCGCCACCATGCCCAGCTAATTTTTGTATTTTTAGTAGAGACCATGTTGGCCAGGCTGGTTTCAAACTCCTGACCTCAGGTGATCCACCCACCTCGGCCTCCTCGGCCTCCCAAAGTGCTGGGATTACAGACATGAGCCACCACGCCCAGTGAATTTTTAAAAATTGATTTTCATAATACAAAAAGCACATAGAGAAAAGAAACTGGCATGTAATCCCCATGCCCGGATAATCCCTGCTGACATTTGAAAGCACGAAAGTAACACATGTTCGTGTTTAAAATGCAAATAGAACAGAAAAAGCTGAAATAAAAACCAGAACTGTCTCTCCCCTACCCCCAAGTATTTCTTCCCACAAATAACTGATCACAGATTTTAATGTATTCTTCTAGAAAAAAAATATTATAATACCAGGGCATATGTCCTTCTCAACATTTCTACCCCAAAGGAATTAGATCGTATCCAGTTTTGCAGCTTGCTTTTTTTTTCTTCTTCTTCTTTTTTTTTGTTTAGCATAACCTGTAGATTTTTCTACATCTGCATTTTTAAAAACTACCTCATTCATTTAACTAGGCTCAAGGCAGGGAAGGAATCCCATTTTTAATCAGTGCTTAAGGTGAGTCTAATGTGCGAGGTCAGCAGACCACACTGAGAAACCCTGATCTGAGACAGGTGTATGCATGTGGAACTCTCTGGTTTCTATGCCAATCCATGCTAAGGTCTTGGGAATGTCCTCTTCCTCTCCCTAACAAGCAGAGGCCCAGATTATCTCTGAACATCCCAGATTTAGGTACTGCTGTCCCAATACAAATGGAGAAATATTCCTCTCCAGACTGTGTTTATCCACCTGCAAGGGTCTCATGATAACTTCCAGGAGTTAGGTAGCATGAGATAGAAAATTATTCCTGGCTTCACTGCTGAAAACGGGTGCCCTGCGGCAATGTGTTCATTTGCAAAGCATCTTCGCTAGACTCCCAAATTGCCACTCATCCATTTTCAATCTTAGGTCATTGCCAAAGCAAAGCAAGCAGCCAAGACCTGGTGTTGGTCTCATACAGCCCCAGATGCTCTCCAGATGCAGAGACCCCTCTCCCCATTCCTCTACAGGCCACGCTCTCCTGCAGATTTGTGGCCAATTGGTAAGTAGCTCCAAGATAATGTTGCTACGGATTTGCCTCAAGCATCCTTTTGCAGTCTTACTTATCTTTTAACTGGAAAAGGTTTGCCTGCTAATGAGCCTATGTTATCCTTCATCTAATTATCTTTGGCAATCCCCTCTTCCCTGGCTGCCGCAATGTTAAGGGCCATCAGTCAGAGATCTGCAGGTGGAGAGGTATGATACTGTGATAGAATAAGAATTACATATTTTGGTCTTCATCTTGATTCCTGACACAGAGCTCTTAAAATCCTTGTACATTTCCTAAGTGATAGGAACAATAAAGGAATAAAGGAGAGTCTTTTGTTATTCATAACAAGCCCTTTTCTGGTTTTTGGTTTTTTTTGTTTGTTTGTTTTGTTTTTGTTTTTTTTTTTTTGGTTTTTCTGAGACAGAGTCTCTCTGTTGCCCCAGCTGGAGTGCAGTGGTGCAATCCAGGCTCACTGCGTCTTCCGCCTCCCAAGTTCAAGTGATTCTCCTGCCTCAGCCTCCCGAGTAGCTGGGACTTCAGGCATGTGCCACAATGCCCGGCTAATTTTTTTGTATCTTAGTAGAGACAGGGTTTTACTATATGCCCAGGCTTGTCTTGAACTCCTGAGCTCAGGCAATCCACCCACCTCAGCCTCCCAAAGTGCTAGGATTATAGGCATGAGCCACTGCACCCGGCCTATAACAAGCCCCTTTCAATCACACCTAAGTTTACATGTGTGCGGTGCCTTTTGGAAAGCCCTTAAGGATGGGGGGCGCTGTTTGCCAGGGGAAACAATCATGAGATTAGAGAGTTGAATTTGGGCCCCACACCCAAACCTGGCCTCTGGGGAGGAGGAGAGGGCCTACAGGTTGAGTTGATCACCATTGGCCAATGATTTAATCCATCATGCCTGCATAATGACCCATCCATAAAACCCCAGAAGGACGGGGTTCAGAGAGTTTCCTGGTGGCTGGACATGTGGGGTGCTGGAAGGGTGACATGTGCCCCATCCCCCAGGCCTTGTCCTGTGTGTCTCTTCTACCTGGCTGTTCCTGAGTTGGGTCCTTTTATAATAAATTGATTACCTGTAAGTAAATTGTTTTCCTGAGTCCTATAAACCATACTAGCAAATGATCAAACTTGAGGAGGGGGTTGTGGGGACCTCTGATTTACCCTCCAGTTGGATGGGTGAGAGCCTGGATCTGTAATTGTTGTTTGAAGTGGGGGCAATCTTGTGGGATGTAGCCCTTCATCTGTGGGACCTGTTGCTGTCTCCAGGTACACAGTGGCAGAATTGAATTCAATTGTAGGACACTCAGCTGGTGTCCTTACAAAACTGGAGAATTGCTTGGTGTAGGAACACTGCACACATTTGGTCACAGAAACGTTCTGTGTTGAGTGATAGTATAAAGGCAATGATTTTTCCTATACAAGAGGTAAAGAGAGTAATGTCTATGATGGTGTCTGCTCCTGTCCCAGTGCCTGGGGAGGGCAGGTGATTCCAACCCAGCAAAGTCCCAGGAGTGGAGGGAGTTGGAAGCCAAGACCCACATCCCTGGATTTACAGACCCTCTGGGGTGTGTCCCTAGCTTGCCACCCACAGCGCATCCACATCCTCACACATAGGAAACCCTAGGATACAGCTGAGCTCCACTCTGATCCCCAGGGGCGTTGGAAGGTCATCAGGGCCAGATGGGTACAAACCACCCAACTCTGCCAGATTCTCAGATTCGACAGACGGGTACAACCCACCCAACTCTGCCAGATTCTCAGACTCAACTGGTCTCTCGAAATAAGGATGTAACAACGTGGGGGCAGTGGCGTAGCTCCTAACTGGCTATGGCACCGAAAAGCTGATGAAACTGCCTTTGCGAAAATTATGACAGTGATAGAAATCTTACATAGCTGATCCATCTTGCTTCTAACCTCATAAGCTGTCATCCCTGGACATAGGCCAAGCTAGCTACAGGAGGAAGTTAGTTTCTAGTGTAACTTTAAAACAAAGATGATAACAGTCCCTTGCCAAAACTAACCACCCCCTCCGTTGTGGGGACTGAAACTGTCTTTGTAAAACTAACCAATTGGCCACCAGGTTAGAATTATGGTTCAGGGGCGGGTGCAGTGGCTCATGCCTGTAATCCCAGCACTTTGGGAGGCTGAGGCAGGTGGATCACAAGGTCAGGAGATCGAGACCACCCTGGCTAACATGGCGAAACCCTGTCTCTACTAAAATACAAAAAATTAGCCGGGCGTGGTGGCGGGCACCTGTAGTCCCAGCTACTCGGAGGCTGAGTCAGGAGAATGGCGTGAACCCGGGAGGCGGAGCTTGCAGTGAGCCGAGATCGCGCCACTGCACTCTAGCCTGGGCGACAGGGGCAAGACTCCATCTCAAAAAAAAAAAAAAAGAAAAAAAAAAAGAATTATGGTTCAGGACTCATATAGCTGGAGGTTACAAGATCTATAACCTCCCCAGTTGCTCCTATTCTTAACATCGCTATTATAAAACCTAAGACTGGTATTTGAGGTGTTTTTCAGACCTCACGTTCTGATGGACCGGCTGGCACCACCTGGATGGGAAACCTATACCAAGAAACTGACTCAGCTGGGTCCTGTGACCTCTACCCAGAAATTGATTCTGCACAAGAAGATAGCTTCAACCCTCTGTGATTTCATCCCTGAGCCAACTAATCACCTTATCCATTTCCTAGCCCTCTGCCTGCTAAACTACCCTTGAAAAACTCTAGCCTCCAAATATGTGAGGAGGAGGACTTGAGATACATCTCCCATCCTTCCAACTTGGCTGGCCCTATAATTATCAAACTCTTTCTCTTCTGCAACTCTTGCCATTAAGTGTTTGGCTTTTCTGGGCATCAGTCAACTGCACTAAGAAAGCAGGTTTGCAGAATGAAGAGAGCTGATGGAAAACAGAAAAAAGAGACCCTGGTGGGAGGCAAAGGAGAATATGTGAACACGTGCCCTCAATTTCCCACCCCCTGACTCTAGCACCCCATGAGACTCAACTTAGCACACTGCCCTTGGATTGTTTCCTTGGAATATATTCTGCCTTCCTCCTTTAGCTGGTCTGAACTGGGTTTCGCTCCCGGAAACGGTTTGGCTCTGTGTCCCCACCCCCGCAACAAATCTCACTTTGAATTGTAATAATCCCCATGTGTCAAGGGTGGGACCAGGTGGAGATAACTGAATCATGGGGGCAGTTTCCCCCATGCTATTCTCGTGATTCCTTCTCACAAGATCTGATGGTTTTATAAGGGGCTCCCCCCACTTGCTCAGCTCTCACTCTTTCTTGTGCTGCCTGTGAAGAGGTGCCTTCCACCATGACTGTAAGCTTCCTGAGGCCTCCCCAGGCACGCTGAACTGTGAGGCCATTAAACCTCTTTCCTTTATAAACTACCCAGTCTTGGGTATGTCTTTAATATCAGCGTGAGAACCGACTAATATACTCCCTTCCAACCACAGGCACCCTTCCTTGATGAAGACAAAACCACAGTTGCAATAAAGTCTTAATGGTTGACAGTATAATAGGAGACAAGGTAAGAAATGATCACTTAAATGTTTGCCAAGGGAAAGTAATCACCTGGGACTGGTGAGCATAAATGATTTTTGCTCCAAAGCAAAGAGAAAATCCAGAGTCCACTCTGGGTTTCCTGCCCGATGTAGAACTGTCTCTGTTCCTTCTCTCCCACCCCGGACATGCAGTTCCCTCTCATGATTTTGTGGGAAAGCTCCATCCTCAGCTAGGATGGATGCTCTGTGGACAAGAAGCTGAGGCGTCCATCTGCAAGGCTGTCGCAGGGATGCTGAGCAAAGCTGACACCAGGAGGGAGGGGAAAACCCCGCTGCTGGTAATTCAAGGTCCTATAATCTTCTCCCATTTTGCAGGTGAACAGCCTGGTATAGGAGCCTGAAGTTATCGGTCCAGAAAGAAAATGCAGGTTCCTGTCTCCTGTCACCTTCAAAACCTTGCTTCCAAAGAAATCATCAGGGAACACCCTGAGAGGAAAGAGCGAGCCCTGAAAAATGAGCAGAAGTATCCTTGATGGAGAGGAGGAAGTGGTAGCAATGTTGGGTTTTGTCTGTATTGGCCATAGCCAGCAAAAGCCCATTCCCCTGTCCCGCTCTAAGAAGAAAGCACAGCCAGGGCCTCCAACCCAACTGTGGACAAAGGAAATAAGACAAAGATTGTAGAGTTTGGGACCCAGTCATTCCTCGTTCTTTCCCACTGAAAACTGAGTGGAATACATTTTGTACCCCAAATGAAGCTAAAGAATATTACAGTGGCTGCAGGTTGAATAAACTGGGGGAAAGGAGGGAGAGACCAGAACCAAAAACACTCAGATGGGCAAATATATCTCAAACACAGCACGAGAGAAACACAGGGAGTAAATCACAGCAAAGAGAGAAAAAGAGGAGACAGGGTTATTTTGGGAAGAAAAAACTGGTGCAATTAGATGCAGAAATAACATTTTCAAAGGGGAGGAAGTCACAAGAAATGTAAGGAAGTGAGCTGTGTATATTATTTTAAATCTTGTTCACATTAACACTGTAAATATTCCAATTAATTCATCATTATTGAATTTGCCAGCAAGGCTAAGGGTAAAACTTCAGCCCAAAGTTTAATTATACCGAGGCAGAGTGGAGCATTTTTCATGTCCCCAAGAACTGCCAATGGAGAAAGATGAAGCTTTCATAATGGCCAGGGTGACAGCCACCTTTCTGAACACAGCTGTTACCTACCTGAGGACTTCCCAGGAAGCCAGCGGGATTCTGGAACCCCCTGAGGTTGTCCAGCTAATTTGCAAAGTGAGACAGAGTTTTATGGAAAAGCTATTCAAACCCACTGATGCCAAATGCTCCAACAATCTGTCCACCCTTCCCTTCCTCATCTCCCACAAAGGCACCCATGGCTGTGCATGTTTATGCGTGTGTCTGTCATCCTACATTCATGTGGCTCTGGTTGATTTCCCAGTTCGCATGCATTTACTTATTAACGATGATCTAATTTGGAGTCATTGTTTCTTTTCTAATCTATTTCTTTCTTTTCCCTTAGAGCACTTTCAATGCTTACTGTGTCAGACCCTCCTTCTGAGGAAGGAGGTGGGACTTGATTCCAAAGGCGAGGCTCAGTCACGGGACCAAACTGAGGACTAGCTAAAACAGGGGCAGGGTGGAAGCAGCTTTCTATTAGACATGTCCACCCAGTGTGCCATATCAGCTTAACACTGCCATGGCAACATCCTGGAGCTACCACCCCTTTCCATGGCAATGACCCAATGACCCAAAAGCTGCCACCCTTTTCCTAGGATTTTCTGTATATAATGCCCCTTAATCTAAATGTAATTAAAAGTAGGTTATAAATATAACTGCAAAACTGCCCTGAGCTGCTACTCTTGTCACACTGCCTTATAGGGTAGCCCTGCTCTGTGGGACCAGTCATGGGAGTGTCAAAGTTAAACCTGGAATGTTTCCTTCTTGTGATTTTGGGACATAACCATGCTCTGCCATGCCCAAAAGCCTCCATCAAGATCAATGGGTGGAAACAGAAATTGGATTATGGTGGTCAAATAAAAAATAAAGAGCTATTGTAGAATACTTAGGGGAGAAATGGGCAATGGTCAAATGCTTCATATCCCCTGGCCCCAAAGCCAAAGTCAAGTACAAAGAAGCCAAGGAAGCATGTTGTTAAGTTCCAAAAGTTTGTCTCTGCTTGTTAGAACATAGTGCTAGCAAGATCACAATCACAGGAACTTATGAAACAGGCCTAATTGTTGCATGAAACTGATATTTATGGTTTCTTTTGAATAAACACAGAAATGGACCCTCCCAGCCTTAAAACTTGAGAAAGTTACATTCGTCTTATCTGAGTTCCTTTCTCAGAAAACCAACCACCTAGTGCCTAGATAGTATCATGGAGCTGAAACTTACCAATCACTGCATCTGGACAATGAAACCCCTCACCTGTCATGATCACCTAACTGATCATGTGCTTCCTATTGACCAACTCCTCTACTCCTCCCTAATTCCTGTTTCCCCACACATGGTTCCATTTCTTCCCTGCTATATAAACCCCCTAATTTTAGTCAGTTGAAGAGAAGGATTTGGGACTGACCTCCTATCTCCTCAGCTGCAACACCTGATTAAGGCCTTTCCTGGAAGTACCCACTGTTTCAGTGATTGGCTTTCTGTGCAGCAAGCAACAAGACCTAGACCAAACCCCTGGTTTCAGTAACACTTAGAGCCTACAGAAACCACTCCAATTTCCCTGTGCCCACAACCACAAAATAAGCTCCCAGGCCCTAGCCAGGCACCCAGCAAATGCAGGTCCTTGGCTACAAGGTAGGCTAAGAAAAAATGCATAATGTAGGTTAGTGTCCCACCTGGGTTAGATAAAATCTAATTAAGCATCATCTTATCAAAAGAGCCAAAAGAATCATCATCTCTATAAAGAAGGGCACCAACACACACACATACACTCCCTTTTCTTTAGATCATTGTAAGCCTCAAGTTATAAAAAATGATGGTGTGTGTTAGGTGTGTGCTTTGGAGGGAAAATGCCAGAAAAGGCTTTGTGATCAAATGTTCCTGTCTTTCCAATCTAACTGCCTTTCTCTCTCACCTCTCTTTGCTTCAAGAACATTCATGACACTGGGTCTCTGAATAGTAATTCACAAGGCAAAATTATTGGCGGCTTTATATTACAGCCCATTTTCCTGACTCCTTTGAAGGGTGGGCAATTAGAACCTCAAACACAATTTTTTCATTCTGGCCAGTGCCACGTTAAAATGGGCAAAAAGCGGGGAAAATGGCCTCAACCTTTCTTTCGCAATCAGTTCACGATGCTTGATTGAAACCTACCAATTACTTTTCCCCCCATTTGCTCATGAGAGGTAATCAAGGTGGAAGAAAAATCTGAAGCTAGGAGAGACAGAGAAATTGCAGGCAATTTTCCCAGTGAAAGGGCTTTCTCTAGCTGCCTGATTCTGATGTCCCTATTAGGAGCTGGCTGAACATGGTCCATGGTCTCACGACAGACTTGGAGAGACCGGGGACAGCGTGCTTTACTCTGGCGCCTCAGGTCCAGAGCACGTGATGGCACTGGCCTTCATCTTCATTTTTATTTTTTTATTTTTATTTATTATTATTATTATTATTATACTTTAAGTTTTAGGGTACATGTGCACAACATGCAGGTTTGTTACATACGTATACATGTGCCATGTTGGTGTGCTGCACGCATTAACTCATCATTTAGCGTTAAGTATATCTCCTAATGCTATCCCTCCTCCCTCCCCCCACCCCACAACAGGCCCCAGTGCGTGATGTTCCCCTTCCTGGGTCCATGTGTTCTCATTGTTCAATTCCCGCCTATGAGTGAGAACACGCGGTGTTTGGTTTTTTGTCCTTGCGATAGTTTGCTGAGAATGATGGTTTCCAGCTTCATCCATGTCCCTACAAAGGACATGAACTCATCATTTTTTATGGCTGCATAGTATTCCATGGTGTATATGTGCCACATTTTCTTAATGGCACAAGGGGATCTCTCCTTTCCAGAACCAGGGCAGTCCGTCCCTAGAGGGACCTTGACTCTGTCAACCGACACTGTCACCTTCTGCTACCATCTTGGAAAGGGTATCTGGATGTTTCACTTCTCTTGGGGATTTCCAGAAAAAGACAGCCCATTAGGGTATTGTCTTCATGTATTTTAGGAAAATAAACAAGGTCCCCAGCCCCAGGGGCCTTCTTGCTGTGAACACACCAAGCTTGTTCCAACCTCTGGGCTTCTGTTCCTGTTTTTCTCTCTTGGCCTGGTATTCTCTTCCTCTAGACATTCCCATCATAACGGCTTTTGGCCAACATCCTTCAGACCTTACTCACATGCCATCTTCTCAGTGAACAGTCTCAATATCCCACTTAAAACATCAACATCCCCTACACCCCCTTTATTGCTGTATTTTTCTCCATACCTGTACTATATATAGGAATAAAATCCCATAATATTTTTCCCTACTCTCATATAAAAATCAACACAGAATACTTCTATGACCTCTGGTCACCAAACTGTATGGGGATTTCTCCCCACCAACATGGAGTGGGGGTAATTCAATTCAATCCAGACACTATCTACCTGGAGGTAGCATCAGATCCCACAGGTGAAGGCTCAGTCCCAAAAGACTGCCCATACTTCAGGTCAATTGCAAGTAGTAGGTTGTCACCTATGCTTCTGACTGATCCACTATAAATTGGGGTTCACACTAGACCTTCCTTGGGTTCAATTAATTTACTAGGATGGCTCACAGAACCCAAGGAAACACTTCACTTATGTTCACCATTTATTACAAAGAGTATTTTAAAGGATACAGATGAACAGCCAAATGGAAGCAATGCATAGGGAGGTTATATAGGAAGGGGGCGTGGAGCTTCCACGCCCTTTCCAGGCACACTATCCTCCAGGAACCTCCAAGTGTTCAGCTATCAGGAACTCATCCAAACCTTGCCCTTTGGGTTTTTTATGGAGGCGTCATGATTTAAGCCTGAATCATTAAGTCATTAGCCCAGAGGTCAGGAGGTGAGATTGAAAGTCCCAACCTTCTAATCATGCCCTGGTCTTTCTCTTCACCAGCCTCCATCCTGAAGCTATCTAGGGGCTCCCAGCCACCAGCCATCTCGCTTCCATACAAAAGATACTCTTATCACTCATACAAAAGATTCTCTTATCAACTCCAGAGATTCCATGGGTTTTAGGAACTGTATGCTAGAATGCCGGAGGAAAACCAATTATATATTTCACAATATCACAGTATCACTCACTGCTATCTAGTTTCTACATGCTCTTTTTACTTCATTATCATTTCTGCTGCCCAAAGCTAACACAAGCTCTGTGAGGACAGGAGGTTTTGTCTGTTTTGCCGTAGTGTTACTAAAACCACCCTCACAGGGTGAACAAGAATGACAAGCCAGGCTTTAGGCAGGATTATAGTTAGGCATGACCAGGGTGCCCTGGTGTACTTCAACCCACTTCCCTGCAGCTGCTGAGTGACAGGTAGCATGCTGACCACCTGCCCTCCCATTGTTTCTATAGATAAATCTCTCACCCTAGACCTTTTTACCCAAGAATTGCTTCAGGAATTCAGAAATTCCAGTGAAACTGGCAAATGCCACCTGGTCTGAAGACCCCCGCCAAGGAACCGACTCAGCACAAGAATGTGGTTTCTTCAGCTCCCTGTCCCATGACTTCACCCTACACTTTCTGACCAATCAGTGACCCCCACATTTTACCCCATCATTTGTCCAGACTCCTTAAAAACCCCATCCTCAAACCTCTTGAGGAGGCTAATTTGAGGTTTCCTCCCATCTTCTCATTCAGCTACCCTGAGATGATTAAACTCTTTCTCTGCTGCAACTCCTGCTGTTTCAGTGTGTTGGTCTGTTACTGCACAATGGGTTTAAGAGCATCCTAAGAGCTCCCTACTCCTCACACACTGCCTGGCACATAGCAGGGGCTCCATGATCTGTCATCCATCATCCATCACGATGTGGGGAATGACAGAGGACAGCAAAGTACGCCCCACTCTTCATGGGGTTTATGAAGAAGAAAAGAACTTGGGGCTGGGCATGGTGGCTCATGCCTGTAATCCCAACACTTTGGGAGGTTGAGGCAGATGGATCGCTTGAGCCTAGGAGTCTGAGACCAGCCTGGGCAACATGGTGAAACCCTGTCTCTACTCCCCCACAAAAAAAAACCTGTTGGGCATGATGGTGCATGCCTGTGGTCACAGCTACTTGGGAGACTGATGTGTGAGGATAACTTGAGCTCTGGGAGGCAGAGGTTGCAATGAGCTGAGATCTCTCAACTGCACTCCAGACCTGTCTCAAAAAAAGGAAAAGAAAAGAAAAGAACTTGGTATTGCAGAGAGGAGACAAGTAAATGCAAGGGAAAAATTGGGAGAGGGGACTGCCTCTCACCTCTTAAAACAGAGATACCCAAGTTCAGATACATGGCTTTTTTTTTTCTTTTTCAGACAGAGTCTCGCTCTGTCACCCAGGCTGGAGTGCAGTGGCATAATCTCAGCTCACTGCAAGCTCTGCCTTCTGGGTTCATGCCATTCTCCTGCCTCAGCCTCCTGAGTAGCTGGGACTACAGGCGCCCGCCACCACGCCCGGCTAATCTTTTGTATTTTTAGTAGAGACAGGGTTTCTCTGTGTAAGCCAGGATGATCTCAATCTCCTGACCTTGTGATCCGCCCACCTCGGCCTCCCAAAGTGCTGGGATTACAGGCGTGAGCCACTGCGGCCGGCCCAGATAGGTGGCATTTTTAACTGAACTTGTGAACCCTGAAAAGAATTCTTTGCAAGCATGGAACCCAGTGAGCTCTAAGGGCTGCCTAGGATTTTTGTCAGCCTGAATCTGCCACATTGCTGGTCTCCAGACATCAGTGGCATCTGGGATGAGGGATGCTGGCAGGAGTTGGAGAGTTCCTGCTAAGTTCCAGCCACGCTGCCTACAAGAAGGCACAATTCCATCTGTGGTTTGTCACAGAGGACTTGGACCACTAAGCCCAGCCCTGCTAGAGCTCTTGACCCAACCTGTTGCCCCCATACTTAGATGATCAGTAGATTTTTAATAAGGGTACCAAACAATTCAATGGGGAAAGGAAAATCTTGATCTCCCACCCTCACACCACACACACAAGTTAATGCAAGATGTCTTACAGAGCTAAATTTAAGGTTAAAACTATACAGCATCTAGAAGAAAATATATAACAATCTCTTCACAACTTGAGAGCAGGCAAAGATTTCTTAGTGAAAACACAAAAGGTGTGAACCATGAAGGAACAACTTGATAAATTAAGCTTTATCAAAATTAAAAGTTTTTCTCATCAAAAGACACCATTAAAAACCGAAATGGCAAGCCACATATCGGTTTAAAAAAAATTCACAGCCAGGTGCAGTGGCTCATGCCTGTAATCCCAGCACTTTGGGAGGCTAAGGCAGGTGGATCACTTGAGGTCAGGAGTTCGAGACCAGCCTGGCCCATCTCTACTAAAAATACAAAAATTAGTTGGGCATGGTAGCACATGCCCGTAGTCCCAGCTACCTGGGAGGCTGACAGGAGAATGGCTTGAACCTGGGAGGCGGAGGTTGCAGTGAGCTAAGATCGCACCACTGCGCTCCAGCCTGGGCAACAGACCGAGACTCCATCTCAAAAAAGAAAAAAAAAAAATCACAATACGTATACCTGAAACAGGACTTGCATCCAGAATATATAAAGAACATCTACAAATCAATAATAAAAAGACAAATGACCTACTAAAAAGGGGGAAAAGAATTAGATGCTTCATAAAAGTATATATATACAAATGGACAATAACAACAACAAAATGTGCTGAACGTCTCAGTCCTCAGGAAAATATAAACAAAAACTAAAAGATACTATTTCTTACACGCTGGAATATACAATGGCTAAAGTGAACAAGACTGGCAACACCCAGTGTTGACAAGGATGTGAAACAAATGGAACTCTCACACGCTGCCGGTAGAAGTGTCAAATAGCACAACCACTTTGGAAGACTTTTTGACAGTTTCTTATAAAATATAAGAATCCTGCATCTGAGGATTCAGCAATTCTACTCTGAGGTATTTTCTAAAAACAAGTGAAAACATGTTTCCCCCAAAACCTTATAAACAAATGTCCACAGCAGCTTTATTCTTAAATAGTCCTACACTAAGCATGCAAGAATGCAGGAGGGCTTTGTGATCAATCCACTCATCCAGGAAGTGATTCAACAGAGACTGAGGAACAGAGAAACCTTCATAGCAGAAGCTGTGGTCACCAATGAGTGCATTTCTATAGGGCAAAACAGGCAGACAAGGATGCAAATATTATGAATCCCAAGCAAATAGAATTAACACAAATACATAATCTGGAGCTGGAGGAAAGGGGGCAGGAAAAAGTATATTTCTGCAGCAAGGACTCATTCCATAACACAGTTGACCCTTGAACAACACGGGTCTCAACTGTGGGTGGGAGGTCCACTTAGACACGGATTTTCTTCTGCCTCTACCACCCTTGAGACAGCAAGAGCAGCCCCTTCTCCTCCTCAGCCTACTCAATGAGAAGACTGGCCAGGTGTGGTGGCTCATGCCTGTAATCCCAACACTTTCGGAGGCCAAGGCGAGCGGATCACCTAAGGTCAGGAGTTTGAGACCGGACTGCCCAATACAGTAAAACCCCGTCTCTACTAAAAATACAAAAATTAGCCGGGTGTGGTGACACACACGTGTGATCCCAGCTACTCAGGAGGCAAGGCAGGAGAATTGCTTGAACCCAGGAGGGGGAGGTTGCAGTGAGCCAAGATCGTGCCACTGCACTCCAGCCTTGGCAACAGAGTGAGACTCTGTCTCAAAAAAAAGATGATGAGCATGAAGACTTTCATGATCCACTTCCACTTAATGAACAGTAAATATGTTTTCTCTTATGACGTTCTTAATAACATTTTCTTTTCTCTAGCATACTTTATTGTAGGAATACAGTATGTAATACAACTAACATACAAAATATGTGTTAATCTACTGTTTATGTTAGCAGTAAGGCTTCTGGTCAACAGTAGGCTATTAGTAGTTAAGTTTTTGGGGGTCAAAAGTTACATGTGGATTTTTGTCTGTGCAGAGGTTTGGTGTCCCTAACCCCCATGTTGTTCAAGGGTCAACTGTATACAAAATTACTCTATATTGTTTAAGCATAACAACTCCAGCTTCTTCATGGTGTTCATACTATTTTTTCTTACCTTTAATGGTTCTTTTTTTGAATGAATATTTCTTTTGGTGAAGAGATATTTAAAGTTTAGCAATTTCTTTATATTTCAGATTCTTATGCTTTAGTTAAATTCAAGTAAAATCAAATTTAATACTTATTTTGTAAATTGCATGTAACTATGCAGAGGCAGATGTTGAGAACTGTGTCTTAAGAATGTTCATATGATTTCTGGGTCTGGAGGGGTGGCACTTGGGGAGATTTCTTGCCTTCTTCTCTGAACCCTCTATGTTGCTTAAATTTTATTTTAAAAAGCAGGCATTGTTTCTGTAAAATTAATCAAGTTGTAGTTTAAAAGAATAAAGTAGGTCTCTTTCAGGTCCTAATTCTGGCACCTTGTTCATTTCTTTCATGATAATCCTCACAAATTATAGGCAAAAGTGTATTTCCATGTGTTAATTTAATATCTGTTTCCACTACTACTCTGCAAGCCATAAGGGTGAGGTCAGGAAGTACATAGTGGACATATGACACATATTCTCTGAATAAATATCACAAAAGAAGGAAAGTTCTGGCCGTGCACGGTGGCTTACACCTGTAATTCCAGAACTTTGTGAGGCCAAGGTGGGTGGATCACCTGAGGTCAGGAGTATGAGACCAGCCTGACCAATATGCTGAAACCCCATCTCTACTAAAAATACAAAATTAGCTGGGCTTGGTGGCGGGCACTTGTAGTCCCAGCTACTTGGGAGGCTGAGGCAGGAGAATCGCTTGAATCCAGGAGGCAGAGGTTGCAGTGAGCCAAGATCGCGCCACTGCACTCCAGCCTGAGCAACAGAGCAAGACTCTATCTCAAAAAAACAAACAAAACACAAAAAAAGAAAGCAAGCTCTTTATAGAGTTAAAAAAAAAAATCAGCCAGGCACGGTGGCTCATGCCTGTAATCCCAGCACTTTGGGAGGCCGAGGCGGGCGGATCATGAGGTTAGGAGATCAAGACCATCCTGGCTAACACGGTGAAACCCGGTCTCTACTAAAAATAGAAAAATTAGCTGGGTGTAGGGGCAGGTGCCTGTAGTCCCAGCTACTAGGAAGGGTGAGGCAGGAGAATGGTGTGAACCTGAGAGGCAGAGCTTGCAGTGAGCTGAGATCCACAATTGCACTCCAGCCTGGGTGACAGAGTGAGACTCCGTCTCAAAAAACAAAACAAAACAAAACACCAACAACAACATAAATCAGCAAGATTGACCCTCTCTTTTTTTTTTTTTTTTTTTGAGATAGACCCAAAATGACAGGATATTCTCGGAATTCAAAGACTGAACTTACAGAACCCCACAGGGCTTCATCTGTAGTCTTTCACTAGGAGACCCTGAGGGCAGCAGTGCTGTCACCTGATGCCTTCATACGCCTAGAGAAATGGAATACATTTTAGCTTAATGAGCTGCTTCTTCCAATAGTTTTATGTAGATAAATGAGAGAATGACTCACAGATCTTGATTCTTTCCGAAAACTGGTTCCTAAACAGTGCATGAGGCTCTATCATGATGGTTGATTGCGTGATCACAAGAATATTCCTCCAAAGCTAACGGAAATAATACCCACTTGAAAGTTGCAAACAAACCCGGATATAGCATCGGTGGAATTTCAAGGTAATATAAGGTTGAGGGGTTGGGGGTGAGGGGTGTCTCTGCTGTTCTTCCTGATCTTAGCCATTCTTTTTTTTGGAGACAGAGTCTCGCTCTGTCACCCAGGGTGGAGTGCAGTGGCGTGATCTCGGCTCACTGCAAGCACCGCCTCCCAGGTTCACACCATTCTCCTGCCTCAGCCTCCCGAGTAGCTGGGACTACAGGCACCCGCCACCACACCCTGCTAATTTTTTGTATTTTTTTAGTAGAGATGGGGTTTCACCGTGTTAGCCAGGATGGTCTCGATCTCCTGACCTGGTGATCCGCTTGCCTGGGCCGCCCAAAGTGCTGGGATTACAGGTGTGAGCCACAGTGCCCGGCCTAGTGATTCTTATTACTTCTTACTTCAAACGCTCTCTGCAATCGTTAATCCTCCATTCCCCTCTGCAAACAGGGTTACAGTCCTTTCTACTCTTCTTGAACAATGAATTTGTTATAAACATTCTTAGCATCTTAAGTGATCTGTACTGCTGCTCCTTAAATTTCTATTTGGAAGATAAATGGAGAATGCTAAATGTCAGCGTCTAAGTGGTTCTCTCATCTACCATAGAGAGCATGATGGTCCTGGGATTTAAAAAAGAAGAAATTCCTATTTCATGTATCAAGAGTTTCTGCTTTGGTTTTGGGTCTGTTAGTCTGACTCTTTGAAGCTTCGGAGCTGTTCCTATCTCTAAAATGGATCTTGAGAAGACTGGGACTAGTTTTTCATGACACCATGGGAGTTCTGAGATTGGAGGAGAGTTCCTAAGAAATATGAACTCTAATGAAACCAACCAATAGTGGCATCACTACTTCTGTGTTTATACCCTTGGTTCTGCTCATGCGGTTCACTGAGGCACTAAAGGAGCAAGTAATGCTTGACCTTTGCTGTGGAGGTCAAAGAAATCTTAAGATAAGAAAGGCTGCCTGAACCAACTTAAAAGGTCGAGGATTCTCTAGACAGGGGGAATATTCAGGTTTAATAGGCAAGAAAATGTTTTTAAAATGAGGCATTCTTTACGGAACCACAAGTAGCCCCCTGTGGCTGGAATGCAGGGCGTGTAGGGGGAAAATTTTTAAAAGATGGAGTTACAAAGACAGGCAGGGGACAGATAATATAAGCTTTTTAGGTCATGTTAAGGACTTTGCGCTGTATCCTGCAATTGCTGGGATTTTGAACCTCTAAATAGAAAAATTACCACATTGATTCTGCAATTTTAGAAAGTTCACATTCATAGCAGTATGATGCTGCACTAGAGATAAAAAGTACATTAATCCTGAAATCCAATGGTATGTGCTTTGGAGCCTTCAATGCAACCAGAATAAAGTGAATTGGATATTTCTAGAATGATATTCACCACTAAGGATGAGTATTACGGAGAGAGATTCATTAAAAACATGTATGACATTCTCTCTTCATTTTCAAAATGTCAAAGATGACATCTGCCTCAACTCCAAACCTACTATTTGAAGATAAAACATACATATCACATACATTTCACATAATGAAAATGCAGGGAGTAGTACTGGGACTATCATTCAAATCAGCCTGGTATACGTTAATTAAAATCATAGAGCCCTCTGACCAACTATGTGATTATAACCTCATCTTCATCAATCTATGTTCCATAGAACGAAAGTTCTGTGAGATAAAAACAGATGAGAAAAACTGATTTTCATAAACAAGGATGTTTAGAAGCTTCTGTTTACAGCAAAGATGTAGCAACAGAGACTGGGTTTACCCTCCCACCTAAAACAACACAGACAAAATATGCATACAAAAATAACCATTTCAAGGCAGTGGGTGACAGGCAATAAGAGACAGTGCTCTCTGAGAGACAGAAAATAAATGAGGTAAGCTCTGTGATTGTTCCAGCTTGCTGCCTTGAGATAGTTTCCAGGTTGCAGAGCAAGGACAGGGGCATCAGGTGGAGCCCAGCAGACTCCCTGAGTGGAGGGGACAGAGCTGAAGGTCAGGGAGACCAAGGCACTCAGGGTACACAAGACAAAGTGCCAGAGAGGACAGTATTGCACAGAGACAGAAAGCCAGTTATGCAGAAGGCAGCCCTCGAGGATCCAACAGAGTACTTAGTGCACGCATGGGGGAAAACTCCCTGAGTTTGGGGAGAAACAGTTTGAAAGGATTCAGGGAAACAGGTCCAAGAACAGTGCCTACTCCTACCAGTCTGACGTTGGTTAGAGTACCCAGAAGGGTCTTGCCTAAGTAGAGGGGATTAACCAGCCCTAGACTCACCACAGCTCAAACTCCACCTAATCAATCTCAAAAGCAACCCAATGGGATAAAATTATTTCTAAGTAACTTAACTGTGTTGCAGAACAAAGCCCAAGAATATTCATAAAAATACAAAAATAAGCAAGGTAGGATTCACAATGTCTAGCATCCATTAAAAAATTAAAGGACATTCAAAGAAGCGAGAAAATTGAAACCATGGCGAGAAGAAGCAATAAAAACCAACTCAGAACTGACAGACGTTAGAACTGGAAGACAATATCATGAAAGCAGTTATTACAATGGTATTCCACATGTTCAAAATATTAGATACAGGAGTCACGAAAATGAATCACATTAATGCCCTAGATATAGAAAAAGGACACTCTCTGATATTTTAAAAATACACTAGAAAGTATGAATAGAAAACAATATATTGCAGAAGAAATTATCAGAGGACTTGAAAACACAGCAATAGACACGATCCCAAGTGAAACACAGAGAAAATAATTTTAAAAAATGAACAAAGCATCTGTGAGTTGTGGGACAACTTCAAGCAGCTTAATGCATAAGTATATGGAGTCAGAACAGTAGAAAACATATTTGAAAGAATAATGGCCAAATGTTTCCAAATCTGATGGAACCATTAAACCCACAGATCCATGAAGCCGAATAAACCCTAAGCACAAGAAACAGGAAACTTTACCAAGGTACACCATAATCAAATTGTTTGAAGCCAGTGACCAAGAGAAAATATTAAAAGTAGCCAGAGACAAAATAGATACATTCCATACATACATACGTTCCTTATGTACAGAGGAAGATAAATAAGGATGATGGCATATGAAAAGATGTTCAACATCATTAGTCAATGGGGAAATGCAAATTAAAACTAAATGGCTGTGGCTCATGCCTGTAATCTCAGTGCTTTGGAAGACTGAGGCAGGAGGATCACTTGAGACCAGAAGTTCAAGACTGTCCTGGGCAACATAGCAAGATCTCAACTCTACATCAAAAATTAGCTGGATGTGGTGGTGCCCACCTGAAGTCCCTTGGAAGACAACCTTGGAAGGTTGAGGTGGGAAGATCTCCTGAGCCTGGGAGGTCGAGGCTGCAGTGAGCTGTGATTGTGCTACTGCACTCAGCCTGGGCAACAGAGTGAGATCCTGTCTCAAAAAAAAAAAAACAAAAGTAGCCAGGTATGGTGGTGCATGCCTGTAGTCCCAGCTACTTGTAAGGCTAAGGTGGGCGGATGGCTTGAGCTCAGGAGTTTCAGGCTGCAGTGAGCTATGATCACACCACTGCACTCCAGCCTGGGTGACAGAGGAAGACCCTGTCTATTAAATAACAAAACAAAACAAAACAAAACAATACACATACATACATACAAGGAAATACCATTATACACCCATTAAGATAATGTTTTTTTCTTTTTTTGAGACAGAGTCTCACTCTGTTTCACCCAGGCTGGAGTGCAATGGCACAGTCTCAGCTCACTGCAGCCTCTAACTCCCAGGTTCAAGTGATTCTCCTGTCTCAGCCTCCCGAGTAGCTGGGTCTACAGTATGTGCCACCACACCCAGTAAATTTTGTATTTTTAGTAGAGACAGGGTTTCACCATGTTGGCCAGGCTGGTCTTGAACTCCTGATCTCAGGTGATCCACCCGCCTCAGCCTCCCAAAGTGCTGAGATTACAGGCGTGAGCCTCTGCACCCGGCCTAAGATAAAATTATAAAGACTGACCATACTAAGTGTTGGTGAGGATATGGAGGAGATGGAACTCTCAGATGCTGCTAGTAGCAATATAAAATGCCAAAAGCACTTCGGAAGACAGTTTGGTAGTTACTTAAAAAGTTAAAACATACACCTACCATACGGTCCATTTCACTCCTTGGTATTTATCCCCCAAAAATGACATCATATGTCCACACAAAGACTTGTACACAAATATTTGTTGCAGCTTTATTTGTAATAGCCTCAAACTGGAAACAGCCAAAATGTCTGTTCTGCAAGTGAATGGATAAAGAAATTTGGTATATCCATAAACAAAATACAGCTTAGCAATAAAAAAAATTAACTTGATTGCAGTGATGGTTTCCCAGGTATGCACATATGTCAAAATTTATCAAAATTGTACCATTTAAATATGTGCACTTTTTGTACGTCAATCATACCTCACTAAAGCTATTTAAAATGTCTGAAAAATTCTGGGTTAAATAATTTTAAGTAAGTTTCTTTTCTGTAGGATTTCCAGAGCCTCTAAATGTTAAGTGGGTATTATTACTCTACCAAAAGAGAATATGATATATGTCATTTCCCAAACTTATTCTTCCACAAAGCCTTTTTAAAATTTTTATTTTTTTTTACTAAGTAGTTCATAGAGCTGGCATCCCATGGAACACGTTGCAAAATACGACAAAATCTGTTCTTGATTTGGACATTTCTAAGTGGCAAATGACAAGAAGACACCTTTAAATTGTCTTCAAAACAAGAGAGCTCCCCAATTTATAAAATCTGCTGTAGCATATGTGAAAACATCCCAGTTGCCTGAAGAAATGTGTATGTTTGCCTCACAGGCTGCAGAATTTCTTTAGCTTTTCTTCGGCAGCCACAGATCAGGCTTATTTATTTTCTTCAGTTTTACTAAATATGAAGGTGTTGGCCAGGATTTATTGGTCTGTTTTATTTCTCCATCCCATGACATCTGCTAGAGGTGGTTGTTACTGTTAACAATAATGCTACTAAATTACTTGAGCACTCCAGAATATGACATTCTGGGGAACCAATTAAAACAGATGCTCTTTCGGCCGGGCCGGTGTGGTGGCTCATACCTGTAATCCCAGCACTTTGGAAGGCCAAGGTGGGTGGATCACCAGAGGTCAAGAGTTCAAGACCAGCCTGGCCAACATGTCGAAACCTCATCTCTACTACAAATACAAAAAACTGTAGCCAGGCATGGTGGTGCACGTCTGTAGTCCCAGCCACTCGGGACGCTGACGCAGGAGAATCGCTTGAACCCAAGAGGTGGAGGTTGCAGTGAGCCAAGATCGTGCCACTGTACTCCAGCCTAGATATCAGAATGTACATATTCCTATATCTAAAAAAAAAAAAAAAAATGCTCTTTCAACTTTCTTTAGGAGACACACCACACGCATGCACAATCCAAGACACGGAGAAGAGAAATGCTCAGAAAATCCAAGTACGATGATTAGGAAGCTTTTTCTGAACTCAGCAACTATCACAGAACATTGTTAACTTCCTGGCTCTCTGCAAATTTTCTTTGACTACTTCAGGACCGAATCCAAGAGTTGCAGCCCTACACAGATTGTCTTTAAACCATAGAATTCAGCTGGCCCGCTCTGCTACTTTATTCATTAAAGCCACTCTATGCAACTGTTTAACCTAGTAGTCTTGAGTTTCATCTGGAACTCTAATCATTGGCAAGGAAAGTAACACCTGACTTCAGCAGTATTGGGTCAACTGCTTTTCTCAATTAAACTCACACAACCTGCTTGAGGGAGAGAGAATGCTTTCTTTTTTTTTTTTTTGAGATGGAGTCTCACTCTAGCTTCCAGGTTGGAGTGCAATGGCGCGATCTCAGCTCACCGCAACCTCTGTCTCCCAGGTTCAAGCGATTCTCCTGCCTCAGCCTCCCCAGTAGCTGGGATTACAGGTGTGTGCCATGACACCTGGCTAATTTTTGTATTTTTAGTAGAGATGGGGTTTCATCATGTTGGCCAGGCTGGTCTCGAATTCCTGGCCTCAAATGATCCGCCCACCTCGGCCTCCCAATGTGGTTGGATTACAGGCTGAGCCACCGTGCCAGGCCGAGAAAATGCTTTTAGGTGGAATTATCATGAGGGTTCATCACGCAGTCCTGCATCCTTAAGGCATACTGGCCTAACATAAGCATGGGCGCATGTGAGTGGAAAGTGCATAAAACACAGCCAAGTCCATATTCTACGCAGAGCAGGCCTCCTACTGTTAACACATGTGCACTGGAGTCTACCTACCCTCACAGGCCTGGATGTTACTATAGCTCTGTTTTCTCAGTATGCTTCCTCTTCAAATCCTCTGTAACCACAGATGGCTGCTGCCAAAAACCTGGATGAAAATCACAGAGATGACCCAGTGCAGCGCCATCTTTATGACTGAACCAGTTGAGGTACCTCCTGGGTAGTATTTACATGATGCAAAACATGCTCAAGCATCGCCAGTACTGAAGCTTTTCAAGGTTTCATGGTGGCAGAAGCTAGCCAGTTAATTACACGGAATCTGGGAAGGCAGGTTCTAGTCTCTGTTCTCCCGGTGGATTGTGTCTGATTCAGGGTCAGGTGACTACAATTTCTGAGGCTTGACTGAGAAATGACCGAGGAATCCCATTCATTTGTAAGGGAGAAACAGCCAATAAAAATGTATTCTTGTCTCATCAAAAAGACTTGGTCCAGGGGAAAGCCATGAAGATGGCTATTATACACACCTCCATCCCTCCTTATTGTGGAGGGAAGGGGATGCAATCTGTATAATATCATAGTGTGAAAACTGAAGTTGGGCCCAAGTAGGGCCTGGTCTTTAATCCAATTCTGCCCATAGAAAGGAGAATCTGGGCTGGGTGCAGTGGCTCAAGCCTGTAATCCCACCACTTTGGGAGGCTGAGACAGGTGGATTGCTTGAGCTCGGGAGTTCCAGACCAGCCTGGAAAACATGGCAAAACTCTGTCTCTACAAAAAATACAAAAGTTAGCTAGGTATAGTGGCGTGCACCTGTGGTCCCAGCTACTTGGGAGGCTGAAGTGGGAGGATTTCTTGAGCTGGGAGGTCAAAGCTGCAGTGAGCTGTGATCACACCACAAAACTCCAGGCTGGGTGACAGAGTAAGGCTCTGTCTCCAAAAAAAAGAAAGAAAGAAAGAAAGAAACCTTATAAAGGACCACAGTGCCCCTGGGCCTGCTAGGCTGCCCACAGCTTGGCTCACAAAAGCAGCGTTGTCACTGTGGATGGCCTCAGGCCATGTTGGTCTTTGTACTGTTGCCCAGCCATTTGCAGGGCCAGTGCACTATTCTAAATTTCATTTCAAACAATGAATCCTCAGAGCGTTCATCCCTTCCATTCTGTTATCTACTGCAGTGCAAGGCTGTGGCTCAGAAAGTCTTTAGCTTGGAAGACATCTAGCTCCATTAAAACTGCAGCAATTATGACTACCTGGAGGTGAATAATCTCCTCTTGGCTTTATTTAATGTTCAATACAAAGAAACAGTCACCCCATTAAATTTACCTGCGCTGTGTCTCGCTTTGGATTTTTCAGGTAGTCATTGGTTCTAAACTATCATGTTCAGTATCTTAAGGACCAGACTATATTACTATGGTGAGGCAGACTGGCAGGAAAGCTCTGGGATCTATCTTGAACATTAGAGTTTAATAAAAAGGAAGGCATGAGATAAACTGAAAAATATAAAATAGGAAATCGCTGCAGCAGCATTCTGCATTCTTGAATAGAAAGACTGGAAACCTTAAAGCTACTAAGTCTTTTCAAATGGATAGCTTTAACATAATTCCACTCAAAATCACAACAGAATTCTAAAACTGGACAAGGGAACTCTAAAGCTCTTCTGAACAAAGAAAAATGCATAACGAGAGGAACTCATCATTAAATATAAAGTGGTAATATTAAATGAGTCTTTCTTGCAGTAGGATACTTAACTTTCTTCAGATTTATCATCCCTTTAAAAGGCCTGTTTTGACAAAGGGGCTGGAGCACTTGAATGATTTGTGTCTATGTTTCTAGAGTACCATCAAAACACAGCAATTCTTATCCACTTGTGTCAAGGACTTCTGATGATACTTGTAGGTTATCGAAATGGAAGATTTCCTGTGGACTAGGATTTGGATTCTAAAAATCAGCTTATAGGTTTTCCCTGCAGCTCCAGACAGCTATTCCTCAGTTTTTGCCTCCTCTCTATATTGGAATTAAACAGCTTCCTATGAAGCTTGGAACGTCAACGCTTTCTGCATACTCAACTCCAGTTTCATACTTTTGCAAATCAAGCATTGGTTCTGTGCAGCTGAGTCTATTCCAAAGCGAGTAATAATTTGATTAGTAATTTTTTACAACTCTCTAATCCTGTAGGCTACGGGCTCACCTCTTGCAATCACCTAGTTCCCACCTAGACCCATCCTGCATTCACTGAAGATTCCAGCAGCATTATTCAGGTGCCACTATTCATGTAGATAAGCCATCTGCCTCACCTCCAATGAACCTGTCCTGTGCACCATCTCAACCAACTAATCCCAAGGGCACTACTTATCAGATCTACCTCTAAAATCTCAATGGCAGGCATTCCAGGTGTTGAACCACCTGCCTGCTATATTTATTTCCAGCTCCTTTCTTGTGAACGCTGGATCCAGTTCTTTAGTACCACTGGCACCTCTGTGCCATTGGCCCAGCCACCTTTTTACTCCAACCTCCCACCTATGTCCACACTTCCCCCCTCATCAAGCAGTGGCCCTCGCTAGAGCCACCCTCTAGCAAATACCTACACATATGCCTACTTAATGCCGACTCTCCATCTATTCTGCACTTGTCGCCAAAGAGTTGAATGTAATTGGAGAGAAACCTACTGCCATGATGCATCTCCACCATTCTACTGAGACTGCTTTTGTCGGGGTCACCACTGGTGCCCATGTGGCCCAATCCAGTGCTCCCATCTCAGATCTCAGCTTGCTCATCCTTTCAGCATTTCTTTCACATGTCTAGTCAATTCCCCTCTTTTTGAACATCCCTCATTTGGCTTCCAAGAAACCTTTCTCCCCCAGTATTCCTGCATCCTCACTGGCAACACCTCTGCTCAGTTCCCTCTGCTGGATTCTGTTCCACTTCCCGATTTCCAAATGGAGGACCCTGGTGCTCGGTCCTCAGTGCTCTTCGCTCTCCTGCCTACACAGGCTCCCCTGGGCAATCTCAACCAATCTCATGACTTTCGTCATTCCCAAATTTATATCTCCAACCCCAATGTCTTCCATGAACTCCAAAGTCATGAATCCATCTGCCTACTTGACGTTACCACTTGAGTATTCAGAGGCATCTCAGACACAGAACTTTTGTTCTTCCAACCCAAACTTGTTTTTCTCCAGCCACTCCCTGTAAATCACTCAATCCCAAAGGCTAAGAATCCTCCTCCTCCTTTCTCCTTCTCTCAGAGTCCTTACCTATCCGCAAATCCCATCAGCTCAACATTCAACTCCGCCACTCTTTCTGCAGCTCAAGCTATCCTCCCCCACTACAAACGCATCCTCCAAACTGCTGATCTGGATTCCACCCTTGTCCGCCAGCTCCCAGAATCTCTTCTCCACATAGCCACCCAAACAATACTTTAGAATGTGTGTCAGCTCATGGAACTCCCCTGAATAAAACCTCCTGATGGATTCCTGTCATACTCTAATTGAGATCTGAAAGTGCTAGTGGTCCCTGCCCGCTGGAACACTTGCTGGACACCAGCCTCTTGACTGTCCCTCAAATACACCAAGCACCTACAAGCTCCAGGGCCTTCTCACGAATGCTCCCTGTGACCCGGATGCTCCTTCTGACTGGAGTGCTCCCTCCTAGGGTGCTCCCTCTGACCAGGATAATCTCTTCACACTCACTCTTGGCATTTTCTCTTTCACATCTTTCAGGTCTTTTCTCAAAACCCATCATCTTACAGGGGTCTTCCCTGACTGCCTGATCTAAAATAACAGCCCAGTCACACTTTCATCCCAGTACCCTGCTTTTCTTTTTCCCTGCAGAGCCAGATAACATTACCTTATGTATCTTTGTCTATTATCTGTCTCTTCCACTGGACTATAAAGTCCTGTGAGGGCAGGAGCTTTGTCTTTTTGGGTACACTGATGTCATCCCAGAGTTCAGGATAGCACGAATCACACACCCATCAGATGAGTGAGTGAATGAATAAATGGATCAGATAATGAATGAAGGAATGGATCAACTGGCTATCAACCGCAGTGGAAAGCTGGACCCCTGGAAAAGTCTACCTCCTCCAGTCTGTATCAGAAAGGGGCTATGCAACAGGACAGAGAAAGTGCATCGAAACTCCGTTTTCAAGCCAATGGGCTCAACCACACTAAGGAAACAGCCGCAAAGATGAGGAGCACTTCTCCCGAGGGCTCTGCCTTCTTCCCCTTTCATCTGCATCATCTTTCTTGTGCCTGTGTATGCAGTAGGTGGCTTTGAAAGGCAGAGACAAATGTCAGAATGCAACACTGCACAGTTCTTATTGCTTTCAACAGTTTCCCGTCTTCCGTCATAACGAGAACAGTCGCAGCCATGCTATAATTTTCTGTTTAGGTAACATCTTATTTGCATTCTGAAACCATGTCCTTTTTCCTATTACTGATATAAAAGATTGCTTATTTCTAATTATATTGCAGGCATTCAGGGAATTCAAAGAGCAGAAAATATGTCAGGAACAATTTACAAATTGTGGCTATTTGTGTACATGCTTGCCTGGACTCCAGCAAATTTAGAAACGAAAAAAAAAATTGCTTATTAAAGTGCCATCTCTCCTCAGCAGATCTCTGCTTCTATTTGTTCTCTCAGTCCTAACTAAATACAAACCTAAACCCTAAGTGTGAATGTGCTTGTGAAGAAAAGTACTCTTCCCCACTTCTCAATTGTTTTCAATGAGAATTTCGAAGTGATATTTTCCCCACTGCTCCCATCCTGCCTTGGAAATTCCATTTCTCTCACACTCAAGTCATTATTTCTAAAAACAAAACAACAAAAAGAAACACACATTTTTCTGTTTTTGTGATTTGAGATGTCTCAAGAGCTAGAAAATTCTTCCCAGAGTCGTATGAGTCAGTACTGAATAACTATTCCACAGATATTAGGACGAACATACTGTGCATGAGGTGGAGAACCTTCATACTCAAAATGAAACCCTGAGTCTAAACTTATTTTGTTCCACATTTTAAGCTCGAATAAATTATAAGAAGCTTGAAGATGTAAAATATGCCTTCTATTTCTTTGGTATCTTGCCACAGTGCTAAGGAAAGAACAAACATACAGAACTTTCAACGTATTAATTTTCAATCCAGGAACCTTCATAGATCTGAACAAAGCCACTCAAAAGAGCCTAAACACATGGCTCTACCTGATCCCAACAGATGGGGTTAGTGGTTGATTGTCAACAGTTGCCTGCATTTATCTCCCAAAAGGCCTTCTGGAACCTCTTCCCTGACCTAAATAGAGACGCTTCTAAACATTTTAGAAGGCATGATCTTTTCAGAGTCCCATGCAACAACATCATTTTGCCTACTCGATCAGCTCTAAGCTTATTTCATCCAAGATAAGTGTTGAGGCCAGGTGTTGTGGTTCACACCTGTAATGGCAGCACTTTGGGAGGCTGAGGAAGGAGGATCACTTGAGGCCAGGAGTTCAAGATCAGCCTGGGCAACATAGCAAGACTCCATCTCGATAAAAGATGAAAAAATTAGCCAGGCATGGTAACGTGCACCTGTAGTCTCAGCTACTTGGGAGGCTGAGGAGAGAGGATTGCTTAAGCCCATGAGTTCAAGACTGCAGTGAGCTATGATTGTGGCCCTACACTCCAATCTGTGTGGTATAGCAAGACCCTGTCTCTCAAAAAAAAAGAAAGAAAAGAAAAAACGAAAGTGTAGACAGGAGTAACTAGATACAGTTGCAGAGACATGGTGTGCAGAGGTCAAACATGTTCATAAAGAGGCCTCAGACTCAAGCAAAATTCTACTATTGCCCAAATAAACTCTGACTCTGAATACAGGGCAAATCTCTATTTGCCCATTTTAAAAGGGAGGTTCGATCAATGTGAATTTATAAACGTTTAGAGATGCAGATATGGATACCAAATATCTATTAGCCATACTTAAACCATTAATTTAGTTACAGATGTGTATTTAAAATAAAATAAAATATTATATAAAATATATTACATGGCCAGATGCAGTGGCTCACGCCTGTAATCCCAGCACTTTGGGAGGCCAAGGCAGATGGATCACCTGAGGTCAGGAGTTTGAGACCAGCCTAGCCAACATGGTGAAACCCCATCTCCAATAAAAATACAAAAATCAGCTGGGCATGGTGGCGGGCACCTGTAATCCCAGCTACTTGGAAAGCTGAGGTAGGAGAATTGCTTGAACCTGGGAGGTGGAGGTTGCAGTGAGCTGAGGTGGAGGTTGCAGTGAGCTGAGATCGTGCCACTGCACTCCAGCCTGGGTGACAGAGGGAGACTCCATCTCAAAAAAAAAAAAAATACGTTAAATAACAAATACTGCTTTTATACATTCTGACATTTCACAAAACAATTTGATTCAATCTCTGCTTCTTTGATGCTAGTGTTGTTGCATTCACAAGAAACGCTTCTTGACTTATCAATTTTCAACAGCACATAATTTTTACTTCCATCTAAATTAAGATTTGGCTGTTGCATAATCTGCATGATACTGTCACCAGTAATTTTATCCTGAGCCACAAAGACTCACTTGCACGGCAATAGTTTTTTCATTGTTTGTATTCATCCTATAGGAGTATTAGTGATTTGCACTAGGAAGCCACGTGCTGTACTGAGTAGCATGGCTTGAGTATCGTGTAAGGAGCAATGGACTCTGATCCAGTGAAGGGCTGGAAGCAAGAAAATGCATAGAGTTAGGTGGGTGAGAGATGGCACAAAACCAGAGGCAGGGCAGGCATGGTGGCTCACACCTGTAATCCCAGCACTTTGGGAGGCCGAGGGTGGCAGATCTCTTGAGATCAGGAGTTCAAAACCAGCCTGGCCAACATGGTGAAACCTGGTCTCCACTAAAAATACAAAAAAAAAATTAGCTGGGCATGGTGGCAGGTGCCTGTAATCCCAGCTACTTGGGAGGCTGAGACAGGAGTATCACTTGAACCCAGGAGGCAGAGGTTACAGTGAGCCGAGATAGCGCCACTGCACTCCAGCTTGGGTGACAGAGTGAGACTCCATCTCAAACAAACAACAACAACAACAAAAAAAAAAAAAACCACCAGAGGCAGAGGAATGCAAAAAGAGTCCGTTGGTATGGTCCCAGCAAGTTATAACTAGGGATTCAACTAGACCAGTCATAGTAGGAAGGGATTCAAGAAACATTTGTGAAGCAAAATCAGCAGGGCTTGGTAACTAAGTGGATTTGGGGGATTAGAGAAAAGGAAAAGAGAGAAATGATGCTGAGGTTCCTGGCTTGAGTGACTGAGTAGATTTGGTTCCATTCAACTCTTCTGGGTATAAGTAATAAAGGAGACAGAGAAAGCTGAACTGGGAGAAAAAAGCTATCAGGTAATGTATTCTATTTTAGACCCATTGAATACAAGTGGCTGTTGGACAGATAAGTAAGCTATCTGGCAAGAGCAGGGGGATTTCATTCTGACATTTAGGAAAGAAAGCTTGGCTGGAGAATCAATTTGGGAGCCTGAGCCCCTAAATTCTAAGTAGAACTGTGAGTCTGGGTGAGATTCCAGGAGAGAATGCCAGGAAAAAGTGGACTGCTGATGAAATGTAGGGGGATAGAAAACTAATTTAATGGATAGGCAAAGAAAGAGAAGCCCAAAGGGGGACTGGTAAGATGTCACCAGAAAGGAAGGATGAGAATGATTAAGCACTGCAAATATACTGAGAATTTCAGCAAAATCATGAGTCATGATTTTCCACTGGATTTGATGTTTAGTGGGTCGCTGATCACAAGGGGGTGGAAAGTGAAGAAATGCAAATAGCTCTCACGTACCTGTATTTTCCAAAGCTTTGTTGAAAACATAAGAAAACAAAATGGATATCAGGTTGGGGGGTGGGGGGTGGCAGGGCGGAGGGAAGACTTTTCCAGATAAAAGACATATGAGGCTGGGCTCACACCTGTAATCCCAGCACTTTGGGAGGCCAAGGTGAGTGGATCACCCGAGGTCAGGAGTTCAAGACCAGCCTGATCAACATGGTGAAACCCCATCTCTACTAAAAATACAAAATTAGCTGGGCGTGGTGGCACATGCCTGTAATCCCAGCTCCTCAGGAGGCTGAGGCACGAGAATCGCTTGAACCCGGGAGGTGATTTGGACTCTTGCTCTCCTGCCTGGACGCCCCTGCCAACCTTCTCTACCCTCTCAAAAAAACAGAGAAAATAAAGACTTGGAAGGACCTGAAGAAAATTCCTCAGATCATCCTGTTCCCCAGCTGCCTTTCCAATCTCCCACCCTCATAGCCTCCCACTTGCTGCTCCCCAGTCTGGAAGGTTCTATCCTCACTCTCTCCCCTCAGTTCATGATTCAGGTCCCTGCTCAATGCCTTTTTTGAACATCCTATCAAAAATACTCCCTGGTCACTCTCTCTCCGGCCATTACCTCGCTTTTACTTCCCTCTTTGGTTTTAAACCTACTTGGCATTATTACACATATAGATATAGATATATATTAACACACACAGATACATACATATAAGTGCATATATAATATAAAGCCAATAGAAATGATTTTATTACTATTTATTACTATTTTATATTTAAATAAAATTATTTAAAACATAATTTTAAAATTATTTTAAAAATGTAAAATAATTTTTATTATTTTAAAATTTAAAAAACTCTCCTCCACTAACTCATGAGCCTGGGGCATTACTGTTCTGTGCTATGCACTTCTGCAGCCTCAGGGCCTAGCACAGTGTCCAGCACACAGTAGGTGCTCAATAAAGATGTGCTGAATGAATACTATGAAGAGCCAAGGTAGAGATAAGACTATTTTTTTTCCCCAAGGATTGCACAGGATGAAATGAACTTCCCTAGCAATATAAGGGAAAACATTAATAATTTCTTGTCTAATTATAAAAAGTTATTAGAGGCTGGGCGCAGTGGCTCACACCTGTAATCTGGGAGGCCGAGGTGGGCAGATCACCTAAAGTCAGGAGTTTAAGACCAGCCAGGCCAACATGGTGAAACCCTGTCTCTACTAAAAGTAAAAAAAAATTAGTCAGGTGTGATGGCGCATACCTGTAATCCCAGCTATTCAAGAGGCTGAGGTAGGAGAATTGCTTGAACTCAGGAGGTGGAGGATACAGTGAGCTGAGATCACACCACTGCACTCCAGCCTGGGCAACAAAGTGAGACTCCATCTCAAAAAAAAAAAAAAAAAATCTTATTAGAGCCCAGAATAGATGTCAAAGAGAAACACAGAATCTCCTCTTGAGAGTCTTAGAAAAAAAAGATAATTATCTTTCTGGGGTAGAAAAAGAATAAAGATAAATAGATTAAATAATACTGTATGGTTCGTTTCAAATTCAAGAGTCTATTTCCCCACTGATTTGGGGTTATTTTTTGCCTGTCTTTTCCAAATGAGCAGGAGACAAAATTGAATCTCTTGGTTCCAGGGCTAAAAGATGCTATCAATTTCTGTTGATTCTAGGTGAGATAACACAACGCAGAAACAATTGGTCCACAATCCAACCAGTAAACTGGATAATAGACAATTTCTGAAGTTTTTTAGAAAGAGTGCAGTGAGAAACTGTTCAGATTTGACAGCCATTTCCCGCATAACTCCTTCCTCCAACTGACTTGTTGGATCCAAAAGACAAACTGGAGGGAGTGAGGGAAGGGAACGAATGTAGCTAGTCACTCATTGCCAGCATCCATGTATTTTCCAGGGTAGGTTCTCCAAGAGGCAATTATGTTAAATCAATCATCAGGAAATGAGGTCTTCGTAATGATAGCTATGACTTTGATTTCAAATACTGTGCCAATCAGAATGAGGGCTTTTGTTCCCTTGTCAAAAGGATCATTTATACTAAGTTCTAACTAAACAATACCCACTACCAACTTCCCTCCAAAAAGAAAAGAAAAGAAAAAGGAAAATGAAGCCCAATACTATTGAATGAAAACATATGGACCAGGGGCCGGGGCGGTGATTCACGCCTGTAATCCCAGCACTTTGGGAGGCTGAGTCAGGCAGATTGCGAGGTCAAGAGTTCAAGACCAGCCTGGCCAACATGGTGAAACCCTGTCTCTGCTAAAAATACAAAAATTAGCCAGGCGTGGTGACACATGCCTATAATCCCAGCTACTTGGGAGGCTGAGGCAGGAGAATTGCTTGAAATGGGGGGTGGAGGTTGCAGTGACCCAGGATCGTGCCACTGCACTCCAGCCTGGGCGACACAGCAAGACTGTCTCAGGGAAAAAAAATATATATATATAGATACGGACCACAGAAGCTCAATATAGCAGTGAGTTCCTTAGCTATCTATATTGTACAATTTGTTCTTTAAGTCTCATTCCTGCTAAATCACCTGAGAATCCTCATTGGAAAACCAATGCTCTTCCCGAGTCTGCAGGCCAAATTTAGGGTTAAAAAAATGGGGGGTTAGGGAGGGCCTTAATTTGCTATCAAAACCCAAAACACACAACATGAGAAAAATCAAGGTTAGAATAAGTTCAAAAGAAGATCTGGTTCTTGACCATGATAATGTCACTATTCTAATAGGGTCCTAGGAAGAAGAGGGCTAAAGACACCAAGGAGGCTGGATAAGTCCCATTGTTGGAGAGAAAGTTAGTGAGTTCTCCTAGGTGACTAAGGCACTTACCACCCCAATAAAAATATTGTTTTCCTTTTAGATATTTCCTCGATGTCTGCTATATACCAGGCCCTGTTTGTACTAAGTGCTAGGGATATACAGACAGGTGCTGTATAGTGTCTGAACCTTTAGAACCAAGCAGTGAGTGTGATCAGTATGTAAACTGATAAAGTTCAATGCAAAATAACCAATGCTCATGATAAATAGAAAATTACAGAGGGGGTTGGGCATGGTGGCTCACATCTGTAATCCCAGCACTTTGGGAGGCTGAAGTGGAAGGATCACTTGGGCCCAGGAGTTCAAGACCAGCCTGACCAACATGGTGAAACCCCATCTCTACTAAAAACACAAAAATTAGCTGTGCGTGGTGGCGCATGCCTGTAATCCCAGCTACTCTGGAGGCTGAGGCATGAGAATCACTTGAGCCCAGGAAGCGGAGGTTGCAGCACACCAGTATGGTATCACTGCACTCCAGCCTGGCAACAGAGTGAGACTCTGTCTCAAAAAAAAAAAAAAAAAAAAAAAAAAAGGCCAGGGACGGTGACTCATGCCTGTAATCGCAGCACTTTGGGAGGCTGAGGTGGGCAGATCACGAGGTCAGGAGACCATCCTGGCTAACATGGTGAAACCTCATCCCTACTAAAAAAAAAAAAAAAAAAAAATTAGCCGGGTGTGGTGGCACGCACCTGTATTTCCAGCTACTTGGGAGGCTGAGGCAGGAGAATCAATTGAACACAAGAGGTAGAGGTTGCAGTGAGCTGAGATCATGCCACTGTTCTCCAGCCTGAGCAACAGAGCAAGACCCTGTCTCAAAAAAAAAAAAAAAAAATTCTAGAGGGAACCTAGAAGGAGCCAGTACCTCAACCTGAATGAGTCAGAAACGTTTCAGAGAGGGGAATAATTAATCTAAGTATTGAATAAGACCTGGGAGGTTGCTAGGCAATGGGAGAAACATCTCCAGTGGAGTGGTCAATTTCAGTGTGGGCCTAGAGAGATGGTGCTGTAGAAGATGCACCCAGGGATGGTGGGCTGAAGGTGGACTGGGAGACCGTCTTTCTATGTGATCCTATAAGCAGCAGGAACTGACCAGGGTGGTGCTGTGAAGGTAGGGCAGTGTTCATCCTCCTCTCCACTGTTTCCCCAGAAACTAACGCAGAAACTGATTTGCTTCATTGATTAACTTAAAACAGAAGAATGTTTCTTTGGTTACTTCAAGGTAGCTATTGCTAGTTGCATTGGTGGGTGCTAGTCGCATTGGTGGGTGCTAGTCGCATTGGTAGGGATGAGGTGGGATGTGACAGAACAGGCAGCGGGCAGGGAAGGCTGGGAGGCAGCAGGGTTGGTGCGATGGGAGAAGGCAGCTTGGAAAATCATTCCTGAGATGTTAGTGCACAGGAAGAAGAAAACAGCCCTATCCTGCTTTGAGAACCAAATAAATGGCTGGGTGCGCGGGCTCACACCTGTAATCCCAGCAATTTGGGAGGCCAAGGTGGGAGGATCACCTGAGGTCAAGAGTTCGAGACCATCCTGGCCAACATGGTGAAACCTCATCTCTACTAAAAACACAAAAATCAGCTGGGCATGCTGGTGCATGCCTGTAATCCCAGCTACATGGGAGGCTGAGGCGGGAGAATTGCTTGAACCCAGGAAGCGGAGGTTGCAGTGAGCTGAGATAGTGCCATTGCATTCCAGCCTGGGCAACAAGAGCAAAAACTCTGTCTCAAAAAAAAAAAAAAATCCCACTAAATGGAATGAAGACCCTCTAAACATGCTGTTTATATCAAGAAGAGCCTCTGCCACCCTTACCCTAAAGGGAAGCAAACATCTGAGCTGCCAGTTCTCCACCATCCATAGTGAGTTCTCTATTTTTCTCTTTTTCAATTTTCTATTTTCTATTCTTTGAGTTCAAGGAAAGAAAATTCCATTACTTTCAGCAAAACTCTAGTTGAGAATGTTCAATAAACTCCTTCTCTGTGAAGAATAGTTGGAAAGGGGTATTTTATTTAACCAAATACTGTAGTTAAATGAAAATTGCTAATATAGATCATACACAAATGGCCAATTTTGAAAGAATTAGCGCTTAATAAAGTGCACATAATCCCAAGGCCCTATTAAAGATTATTTTTAATCTTTTTTTTTGGTGTGCATATGTATGATTCAGTATCTTAAACTCAATAGTCTTCAGGGAATTTAAGTTATTTTATATTACTATGAAAACGGCATTCTGGTTATATGATTTTTGTAATAGATAGGATTTTTACAACAAATTTTCAAAAATGTATAACGTAATCTAAAACCAAAAAGAGAACATTTGGGGATTGTTCACATTAATCCTTTTTTTTTTTTTTTTTTTTTTTTTTTGAGACAGAGTCTCGCTCTGTCACCCAGGCTGGAGTTCAGTGGTGCAATCTTGGCTCACTGCAACCTCCACCTCCCAGGTTCAAGTGATTCTCGTGCCTCAACCTCCTGAGTAACTGGGATTACAGATGCCTGCCACCACACCCGGCTAATTTTTCTATTTTTAGTAGAGACAGGGTTTCACCATGTTGGCAAGGCTGGTCTTGAACTCTTGACCTCAAGTGATCTGCCCGCCTCAGCCTCCGAAAGTGCTGGGATTACAGGCATGAGTCACTGCACCCGGCCTACATTAATCCTTTATTCACTCAGTAAACATTTGTTAGTGCTGTACCCCAACAGCGTACCGAAAGATGAAGAAAGACCAAGGCTGTTCTTCCTCAAAGAGTTCACAGAGGGGGATGCACATCTATTTTTAATAATATTTATAACACATTTGTTCATTGTAATGACAGAAGTAGGAAGAGAAACACAGATGAGAAAATGCTCAATTTTGCCTGTACCAGGGAGTGAGGGAAAGGGACATGGGAAATGACGCTTAAGAAAAGTCCTCACAGCCAGGTGCGGTGGCTCACACCTGTAATCCCAGCATTTGGGGAGGCCGAGTCAGGCGGATCACCTGAGGTCTCAGGAGTTCAAGACCAGCCTGACCAACATGGAGAAACCCCATCTCTACTAAAAATACAAAAATTAGCTGGGCGTGGTGGCGGGCACCTATAATCCCAGCTACTCGGGAGGCTGAGGCAGGAGAATCACATGAATCCAGGAGGTGGAGGTTGCAGTGAGCCAAGATCATGCCACTGCACTCCAGGCTGGGCGACAGAGTAAGACTCTGTCTCAAAAAAAAAAAAAAAAAAACAAACAGAAAAACAGAAAAGTCCTCAAGGGTGAGTGAGAGCACTCCAACAACAGAAATTTGGAAAGGACCAGGAAGCATGGAAACCAATTTGGGAGCTCCTGTAGTAATTCATGGCAGAGATGATGAAGGCCTGAACTGAGAGGACCCCAGTGGGGACAGACAGTGACCTGCTGGACATCGGAGGTGGGAAAAGGAAGCCATCTGCACTGTGCTGTCTAATATGAGAACCACAAGCCACATGCAGTCATCTAATATAACCTCATTAAAACATGTTAAAATTGAAATGAACTCAGCTTGCACTAGCCACACTTCGGGGCTTGATAGACATGTGAAGCTAGTGGCATCTGTACTGGATGGTACAAACAGAACTTTTCTATTATTACAGAAAGTTCTACTGTACAGCAGAGCCAAGTGTTTGGGGCTTGAGATAAGTAGTTGAACGTTGGTACCCCTAATTCAGAAGAAATGCCAGAGAGGCAACGGGTTTAGGAGGAGCCGATGGGTTGAGTTTGGGATGAGCTGAGTTTGAAGAAAGTCTAATATCATGGTGATGTCAGGATCCTTGTGAGTTCAGCATCTCATAAGCGACAGCATAGTGAGGGTCCTGGTTTTTAGCCTCTTCCTTTTCTGAAACAAAATCCAAGCTTCAAAAGCTAACCTGCATGCCTGTGCCTATTAGAGGGAAAACAAAAACAAAAACAAAAACAGGCGGCAAGGGAATTCGGTGTGGAGTTCTAAAAGAAGTGTGGGCGGCTGACCCAGAGTTGGGAGTCAGTGGTATACTGAGGGTAGTTAAAGTATCTCACAGAGAAAAGATTACCCAAGAGAAGAGGGGTGGAAGGTGAGACCTGGAGGAAGGGGTAAAAGCAACAGGTACAGGACGGCTGGGGGAACAGGATCCACAGAAACGTAGGAGAGTCTGGAAAAACCCCAGTCAGGAAGGAGATGGGGAGAAACAGGAACAAAGTGTCACCAGTAAAGCCCAGGATGAAGAGAAGGGGGAAGAGCCAAGTGAACTGAATGCAGCAGGAAATCTAATAAGGCACCAAAAAGTGTCTGGTGCATCTGGCAATTTGGGGGCCACCTCAGTAAGACCAGTTCCAGTGGACAGATGGTGGAAAGATACCTGCGCACATAGACACGTGGAAGGAAATGCTTGTTTTTCAACTGGCCGCCCCCAAAGACATAAGGATACACTGGGAGCTCCTCAAGGGGCTGGAGCATCCGAGTTCATGAGCAACACAGAGAATTGATCAGGACGCTTCAGGCCTCCCGGCGCATCCACTCAGCTATACCGCTGCTACTGGGGAGGAAATGTATTGTTGACCATGTTAGCACTTTAGAACAGCCCCCAGCTGGTCCCCAGAGGAGGGAAGGCATGAATTTCTGGGCTTCTCCCCTGAACAGGACCAGACCCAAGAATCTTAGTGAAACAAATGGTGAAAAACTTCTGCTGTGACATAGAGGCAGGGATTCTGATTTCATTGAAAACTCTTCAGCTTGTCAGAGAAAAAAAAAGACACACACACCCAGTCATACACACATGCAAGCACATGCATATACACAGTGCATACATGGGCATGCACACATATATGCATGCACATACATGTATACATGCATTGTGCATATACACTCACGTAGACACTCATATAGATATTCATACATTATGCAAAATGTGCACACACGTGCACATACATAACACCACCCTGGTTCTCTTTTCTTTTCTGCAGCGGCAGAACCAGGTCAAGAACCCACGTCTCCTGACTTCAGAACCCTCACTCTTTCCCCTGCAGCAGTTGCTCAGGGAGGCGACTGCCAAGAGGAAGCAGATGCTCTTGCTGGAGCAGGAGGAGACCCTTCGGGGACTATGCAAGACTCAGCCTGAAGTGGGTGCCAAGTGTTCAGAACTGTTTAAGTAAAAGCCACTTGACCGACCCCCATCAGCCCAAGTAATTCGGCTGCACTCTCCTAAGCTTTATGCAGGAACTCCGCTGGCTCTTAATAAACCCAAATAGGAACAAAAGAAAACGTGATGACTTTCAGAGGTGGACATTAGCTGTGCTGCGCTGAAGGATGCCTGGGCTAGATCCTGCCCAGGTCTCCAGGCTCGGTAAAAGGGCAGCTCCATTTCCCCAGCAGCAACCCCCACCCCAAGCCCCTGCTGTACCCCACCTTGCCCCTCCCCTGCCACCACTCTTGCTGGGGTGGAAATACAGGGTAAGAAAAAAGGCCCTAAGGAGTCCACCTGCCAAACCCAACTACAGACTGAAGCCCACTTTAAATTTCCTATCCTGAAACCAACAATCGTAATTATTTACATTGTTTTTTTACCCTCTTAAGTCCCATTTTCTTTGTGTTTCATCATCATTTGAAGTGGGGAGCGAAGGAATCTTATGGAAAGGCAAGGGTCGGATAGACTTGATGGCCTGTCTCATTTCCCCTCATTACTCTAACACCACAATTCCTCTCCGGCCACATTCACCACTTATAAAGTGCTATTCTCATCATCAGGATTATAGCAATGGGCAAATCAACGAACTGGGGAAAGGAGACAGCAGCAAGGAAAAACTCATGTAGCAGAATGCTGAGGGAGAGAACGACAGCAGGGGCCGGGCACGGTGGCTCATGCCTGTAATCCCAGCACTTTGGGAGGCCAAGGTGGACGGATCACTTGAGGTCACGAGTTTGAGGACAGCCTGGCCAAAATGGCGAAACCCCGTCTCTACTAAAAATACAAAAGTTAGCCGGGCGTGGGGGCAGGTGCCTGTAATCCCAGCTACCTGGGAGGCTGAGGCAGGAGAATTGTGTGAGCCTGGGAGGTGGAGGTTGCAGTGAGCCGAGATCACACCACTATATTCCAGCCTGGGTGACACAACAAGATTCTGAAAAAAGAAAGAGAGAGAGAGAGAGAAAGAAAGAGAGAGAGAGAGAAAGAGAGAGAGAGAGAAAGAGAGAGAGAGAGAAAGAGAGAGAGAAAGAGAAAGAAAGAAAGAGAGAGAGAGAAAGAGAGAAAGAGAAAGAGAAAAGAAAGAAAGAAAAAGAAAGAAAGAAAAGAAAGAAAGAAAGAAAAAGAAAGAAAGAAAAGAAAGAAAGAAAGAAAGAAAGAAAGAAAGAAAGAAAGAAAGAAAGAAAGAAAGAAAGAAAGAAAGAAAGAAAGAAAAAGACAGCAAGGCAAGGAGATGGAAAGTGGCCTTTGGGAGAAGGAGCTCACTTCCCAGAGAGATACCATTTGAGCAAGGATGTCAACAAAGGAGGAACAAGTCGTGGGGGTATCTGGAGGGAAGGAAGGGCAGGCATCAGGGTTCTGAGAAGGAGGGTGCCAGGATTATGAGGATGCAGGATTATGAGGATGTATGAGGATCTGCAAGGAGGCCAGTGAGGAAGAGAAAGAGGAATGAAGGGGGCGGGCTGGGGTGACAGTAAATGAGTCCAGAGGGGCAGCCAGGACCCTGATCCTGGAAGTCTATGGTTAGGTCCTTGGACTTGGCTCTGACACAATCTGATTTGCACTTTTACAGTCACTGACTGCTGGGTGGAGACCTTACTGCAAGAGGGAAAGAGTGGGGGCAAAGGGATTTGTGAGGGGGGCAGGCGCGCCCTCCAGGGCAGAGGAAATAGTGGTAAGTAACTAGGAATGATTGATGGGTGAGCACTTCAACAGCATCTGCAGTTATTAATGCAACAACAACAAACAACGGCATCCATGCTGCAGGTGTTTCCGAGTCACTGTGCTGGGAAAGCAGACACTAATCATGAAACAGCAGCAATTACAGAGTTCAGCATCTCACAGGCGACAGCACAGTGAGGGTCCTTGTTTTTAGCATCTTCCTTTTCTGAAACAAAATTCGAGCTTCAAAAGGTCACCTGCATGCCTGTGCCTATTAGAGGGAAACAAACAAACAAACAACAAAAAAAAAACACGAAAAAAAAACACGATGCTGCCCTCCAGAAGGATTATGTTGCAGGAGGTTGCAACGCTGAGGAAACCCATCAGAATATCAGCAATGCTGTTAAACTGAAAAATCGTGTCCAAGTGAAGTCAGAGAGAAATATTTCTCCTGGTAGATTTATGAAAACGAATGCCAAAAGGCAATGAGGTGGCCTCGGCAGCTGGAATTCCACTGCAGGGGCCTGGACTGCGGGAGCTGGAGCGCATGGGAAGTGATGGACGTCTCTACTCCAGGAAAAGGGCTTTGCTCATTGACCCACAGGCCCCTGCTGAGGCGAAGGCCCACTGCATCCTGGAGATAGTCAGTGTGTGGCTCAGTGTTAAATCCTAAGACAATTAGAGGCGTGGGTTGTGGGTGGAAGGCAGGGACTGGCAACAGAGCCCTGCCCTCTTGAGCTCTGAGCAAACATATAAAATCAGGTGTGTCCTGTCTCCGTACATAAGAAGTAGAGATTTGGGTACGGTACAGATGAAAACACCCACCTGGATGGGCCGGGAAGGCAGACCACAGGAGAGAGGCTCGGGTTTGGACTATAACTGGATATTTGTGTGAAGATTCACCACTGTCTTCCCCAGCAGACTACAAGTTCTAGGAGGGCAGGGCCATGTCCGCCAGTGCACACTAGAATTAAATATATTCCCAGCAGACAGCAGAATGCCTAACACCCATTAAGCTTTTGCATAAACACCAGTGGCAGTGAGTTGAATGGGGTCCCCTCTAAGATTCTGAATTCTGCTCTTCAACACTGCTAAGACTCTTAACAGGGTTGATTATGGGAACAGATGCTGGTGGCTCACCCAACCTATGTTGGCACTGTGCTGCATGCATGGGGCCCTGAGATAAAGACACAGCTAGGGCCTCCCTGGGGAACAGGAAACAGGGTCTTTGCAGAGGTCATAAAGATAAGGCCATCTTGGATTGGGGTGGGCCTCAAAGCCAGTGATGGTATCCTTATAAGAAGAGGAGAGGCCGGGCACAGTGGCTCACACCTGTAATCCCAGCACTTTGAAAGGCCGAGGCGGGTGGATTACCTGAGGTCGAGAGTTCGAGACCAGCCTGGCCAACATGGTAAAACCCCGTCTCTACTAAAAATACAAAATTAGCCAGGCGTGGTGGCACACGCCTGTAATCCCAGCTACTCCGGAGGCTGAGGCAGGATAATCGCTTAAACCTGGGAGGTGGAGGTTGTGGTGATCCGAGATCATGCCATTGCACTCCAGCCTGGGTAATAAGAGCGAAGCTCTGTCTCCAAAAAAAATAAAAAGGAAAAAAAAAAAAGGAAGAGGAGAGGACACACAGAGGCCAGGCGACATCAAAAGCAGAGACTGGAGTGATGCGGCTACAAGCCAAGGAATGCTAAAAATAGCTGGGGCTACCAGACACTAGGAAGAGGCAAGTAAGGATTCTCTCCTTGAGCCTTCAGAGGGAGCATGGGTGGCCCTACTGACGCCATGATTTCAGACCGATGGTCTCCCTGAGAAAATAAATCTCTACGGTTTTAAGTCTTCCAAGTTTGTAGTAATTTGTTAACAGCAAACTACTCCATAGGAAATGAATGCAGTTGCTAAGCGAAGAATAAATGAATAAACAAATCAACAAAGAGATGGCTGGTCCATACCAGCATGCCAAGAGCAAATATCTATAGATAGAATAACCGGACATACTTTGAAAACCAGCAAGGGAAACAATAGGCTTAACATGCAGCTGGTGGAGGTAAACCAGGTGTACAATTAGCTTAACAACCAGTGGGTACCCCTCTGGTTTCTTCCAGTGGGTACCCCTCTGCCCAGGAGGAACACTCAGTCCCAAGGCCTTTTTCCAGCACCATTACAGAACTATTATAGAGTGGATCTTGCCTTGCAAATAAGGGAAACTCAGAATTATTTTGTTTTTTGTTCTTCTTAGTCAAAGATGATAAATTGTAGTTAGAAAAAAAAGTCATTAAGAAATTCCATTGAAATAGGCCGGGCTCGGCGGCTCATGCCTGTAATCCCAACACTTTGGGAGGCCAAGGTAAGTGGATCACCTGAGGTCAGGAGTTGAGACCAGCCTGACCAAATGATGAAACCCCGTCTCTACCAAAAATACAAAAAATTAGCAGGGCGTGGTGGCAGGAGCCTGTAATCCCAGCTACTTGAGGAACTGAAGCAGGAGAACTATTTGAACCTGGGAGGCAGAGGATGCAGTGATCCAAGATCAGGGCACTGCACTCCAGCCTGGGCAACAGAGCAAGACTCTGTCTCGAAAAGAAAAAAAAAAAAAAAAAAGAAATTCCATCAAAATAAACAAGAAAGGGCCAAAGGAAAAACAAGTTCTTCTTCTTGGATGGATCTTCAACAACAAAAGCCCATTGCAGCCCCTGATGCTGGGTCTCTCTGAGGCACAACTCCATCTATAATACTCGCTAGTTCCTAAGACCCCGATTCAGACATAAGAAAAATAATCAAAGTTGCTCACGCTCTGTAGTGACCTCTTGCAATAGGTCCAGCCACTGTGACTCTCTCAAAGGTTTATTTGCAGCACTGTGACCGTAGAGGCCCCAGCCAGAGCACAGAGGGGCAGCCAAGCCCCCGGGTAATGAGCAGACACAAAGTCTCACAGCCCATGAGCACCAGGTCATTTATCTTCCTAGTTTTGTTCATTAAATTTGAAGGGGGAGGTGGAGAGAGAAGATAATGGAGGAAATCAATGTGAATTTTTCAAAGTAATCGGGCTTGATTGGTCTTTTTATTTGTCTAGGAAGGTCTGTCTGCCTAGAGGACTGGGAGACAAAATATCCTGAGGTCTCAATAACCAGCCTCCTCCCAGAACCGGAAAACTCAACTGCCCTTGCCCTAAAACCATGCCCCACCTCCCTCTCACCCTGCTATATGCATAACAGGAGCAAGTGAGCTCCTGGGCAGGAAAAAAAGTCTGCACCCTCCTGCTAAAACTCTTAATAGTGCTGAAGACGGGAACAGATGCTGGTCACTCACTCCACATGGGCCAGGCACTGTGCTGTATACATGGGAACCCTGAGATGAAAACACAGCTAGGGCCTCCTTCCTCAGTAGTCATTACTGCTAGGGAGGGCAGATGACACAGAAACTGCAGTGACAGAGGACACTCCCTCAAAAGCGGTGAGCCCAAGCCGGGCGCGGTGGCACACACGTGCAGTCCCAGCTACTTGGGAGGCTGAGGAAGGAGGAACATGTGAGTTCGAGAGCCCAGGAGTTCGAGAGCAGCCTGGACAACACAGTGAGACTCTATCTCTAAAAAAACAAAAAGAGGTGAGCCCAGAGTTGGAAGCCTGGGGACGATTTTCCAGTAATAAAGGGGAAGGGCATTTCAGGCAAAGGAACCCAACACGTTCAGTCTCCACTGAATTTTCACCATACAGTGTCCAAAATAAGGAAGAGCGGCCACAGACACTCTTTGGTGGTGACAAAGCAAATCCTATCAGCTTCACTCTGGTCTGCATGGCAAGAGTCTGTCACCTAGACACAGCCACTCTGAGCAGGTGCAGGGCCACTCTGAGGAATGTGGTGAAGGGAGGGCTCGCCTCGCAGCAACAAGGAAGGTCCCAGAGCACCCCAGGCCTTTGCCACTGAAGGAATCCTGAGTTGGCCTGAGGAACCCTCTGGGCTCTAACTGGGCCCCGGTTTGTTTCTTTCCTTCTCAGGTGGCACTGACGGGCCAAGGGATTCAGGATCTCAGAGCGAGAATTACTTCATAGGCATGAAAAGCCTTGTGATATAAGTGATTCTCTCACAAATGTGGTCCCCGAAGGTGGGCAGGAGGGCATGGCTGCATTACAGAACCTTTCCCCCTCCTGGAAAAGCTCACCAGTCCCATCAGCAGGGATTTCTTTACTCAAGAAAAGATAGCACGGCTGGGCACAGTGGCTCACGCCTGTAATCCCAGCACTTTGGGAGGCCGAGGCAGGCGGATCACGAGGTCAGGAGATCGAGACCATCCTGGCGAACATGGTGAAACCCCGTCTCTACTAAATATACAAAACATTAGCCAGGCGAGGTGGCGGGCACCTGTAGTCCCAGCTACTTGGGAGGCTGAGGCAGAAGAATGGCATGAACCCGGGAAGCGGAGCTTGCAGTGAGCTGAGATCGCACCACTGCACTCCAGCCTGGGCAACACAGCGAGACTCCATCTCAAAAAAAAAAAAAAAAAAAAAAAAAAGATAGCACAGGCCATGATTCTCCTGGAGAATGACCAGTATGAAAATAGCAGTGCTTTGTGGCTGGATGGATTCTGTTTCTGTTTCCTATTTTTTTTTTTTTTTAAATAGTGTCTAGGCCAGGCACAGTGGCTCACACCTGTACTCCCAGCAATTTGGGAGGCCAAGGCAGGCGGATCACCTGAAGTCAGGAGTTCCAGACCCGCCTGGCCAACATGGTAAAACCCCATCTCTACTAAATACACAAAAAATTACCCAGGTGTGGTGGCACATGCCTGTAATCACAGCTATTTGGGAGGCTGAGGCAGAAGAACTGCTTGAACCTGGGGGACGGAGGTTGCAGTAAGCCAAGATCTCACCACTGCACTCCAGCCTGGGTGACAGAGCAAGACTCTGTCTCTAAAAAAAAAAAGAAGACAAGGTCTCTCTTGGTCACCCAGGCTGGAGTGCAGTGGCGCAATCTCAGCTCACGGCAGCCTTAACCTCGTGGGCTCTACCCAACATCTACTGTCAACCCTGACCCCTGCAACTGCCACTCCTGGCATGAAGAAGAACTCAACTCTTTTTTTTTTTTTGAGACAGAGTCTCGCTCTGTCGCCCAGGCTAGAGTACAGTGGCGTGATCTCAGCTCACTGCAAGCTCCGCCTCCCGGGTTCACGCCATTCTCCTGCCTCAGCCTCCTGAGTAGCTGGGACTACAGGCGCCCGCCACCACGCCCGGCTAATGTTTTGTATATTTAGTAGAGATGGGGTTTCACTGTGTTAGCCAGGATGGTCTCAGTCTCCTGACCTCCTGATCCGCCTGCCTTGGCCTCCCAAAGTGCTGGGATTACAGGCGTGAGCCACCACACTCGGCCAAAGAGGACCCCAACTCTTGACGCTCTTTTGGGTTCACAACGAGCTAGAGTAGAGCAAAAGGGCCAGAATGAGGAGTCTGGTTAGACAACACCTCAAAAGTTCCTACAAGTCACATGGGAGAGAGGGCAGATCCAAGGAGCTCCACAATGGCAAAGGAAAGCAGATGAGAAACTGGCTGCGGCCAGGTGACCAGACCCCATTCAGGAGTCCACGGGAGAAGAGGAGGAAGTCAGCCAGAGGTCTGAGCCACAAATGGCCAGGAAGCCAGGCCAAGGAGTCTAAAATAGTCAGGATTGAGAGACGTGGGCACCACGGGTGAGAAGGACACCTGTGCCTTTGCAGGCAGTGTTTCCTCCTGGGCTTCCTTCCTACCCAAAACCAGAACGGGGCTTGGCTGGGTCTGTGCACACAGTTGGAAACAGTGGACAAGTGCTGGCACAGAGAGCTGGGGAGGTGGATGCAGGCAACTCCTGACCCAGCACCTGGAATGATGCCTAGGCCAAGGGTATTTCAGCTGGCCTGCCTTGCTGTGAGAGATATACACTGAATCCTCCTGACTCCAACTGATGACAGAAGGCAACTCACCTGAAACAGACCTTGTTTAATGAAACAGGGCTTTAATGGACAAATCAGCATAACATCCACTGGCAGAATTTCCTTAAACAAATCCGATTAAAGGCCCAAAATCAAAATACACTTAGGTTTCAAATGATGCTTTCCCTGGACAGCAAACTTCATAGATCACTATGATGTGTCTTATCTTCCACCTGCTTACACTCACCTGGAAACCTGCCTTGTTAAAGTGTACGAGAACATGGAGACCACCCTTCAAGTCACAAATCCTGCCAGCAGTGCTCCTGGGCCAGCTCTTGCACCGGAGATCAGGGCTGCCTAATCAAAGCATCTGCTCCTTCCTGGAAGGCTCCAACAGCCAATTCCACTAAAGCATAAGGCACTGACCATCCCAGAAGAAGGAAAATGGGCTGATTAAAGTCCCACAATCACCAGAGGAGATAAGTGGGAAGAGAGAGCTGGCATTTAGGAAGCAGTGAGATATTTCCTGTGTTTTCACACAGCGAGTCCCTCCTGCTCATATCTCTTCCTGTCCTGCTGGAGAGCACAAGGAAAACACCATCAGAAATGAATGAGTCACGCGCTGGGTGCGGGGGCTCAGAACTGTAATACCTGCACTTCGGGAGGCCGAGGCGGGCGCATCATTTGAGCTCAGGAGTTCGAGACCAGCCTGGCCAACATGATGAAACCCTGTCTCTACTAAAAATACAAAAATTAGCCAGGCACAGTGGCACGTGCCTATAATCCCAGCTACTCGGGAGGCTGAGGCACAAGAATCACTTGAACCCAGGAGGCGGAGATTGCAGTGAGCCGATATCACACCATGGCACTCCAGTCCACGTGACAGAGTGACGGAGCGAGACTCCAACTCAAACAAACAAACAAAAATAAATGAGTGAATCAGGAAGATGGTATGAGACCTCCTGCCCATGTGGAGCGGGCAGAACTTAAGTGGGAACCTGAAAGATCTTCCTGCCTCACAGAAGTTCTGAAATAGTCATCCTTTCTCGCTTTCCTCCCCAGAAACAACAAACAGAGTCAACTGCTCCTTACTCCAGCCCACCTCCATCCCACTCCACTCAGGTGATCCAGTTCCATTCCCCTTAAATGGGTCCATGCAGAACCTCCTACTGCAGATAAAGCCAACAACCACATGACACATGAAACCCACAGAACTCTGCAGGGAAACAGTCTGCACCCATATCCCACGCCACAGACTGCGGTGCACAGCATGGGGCAGTCACCAAAGCGGGGCGTAGGGGAGAAGTGGAAGGAGGAGACAGGTCGTTCCTGGACGTGGGAAGGGGTAGAGTGTGTTGAGGTGAGCAGGGGCAGGGCACAGAGGAGAGGACAGATACATCACTTATTTACAGCTTGGCTCTTGTCTTCTCATGGGAGCACTCCAAGCCTTCTATGATGTAGGCCTTAGTTCCTCCTTCTCCCTGAATGTCCCTTTATTCTGCATGTGCCACAAGTGAGACATCAGGCTATGTTCTGGCATCCAGGGCCCGTCCCTTCAGTGGCCGTCCTCACTGAAACCCAAGGCTTCTTTAGCCAGCGTCCAGGCCAGGTGCTCTCTGCCTCCTGGGATGTTAACCAGCCAGCCTAATAAATCCACAGGTGTGAATGGGTTGAGGCTGGGGGCCTCCACTTTTTCTCAGATAAAGAATATTTTATCAGTATTCTTTTGGTGGCAGGGAGCAATCCTGGGAGAGAGATTTTGGGGGTAGGTAAAGTCTTACAGCCTCCTTCAAATCGCTGCTGCAACCTGCTAGCCACACACACAGGGCCAGGCTGGCCACTTCGGGGCCAAAACAACACGGCTGCATCTGACCAAGACACTATGTGACTTGCGACAGGACACTACCGTGCCGTCTCTGCCAAGGGCAGGAGAACTGTCCAGAGAGCCCCGGCTTGCCAGGCTGGTTCTCCATGAAAACAGGTCACACAGGCCATCGAGGCGGATGGGTTTCTTTAGGAGGATTCTGAGGAAGCGTCTACAGCCCATGGGGTGACCACCAGTCAGTAAGGGAGGAGACGGGCATGCTGTAGGGGTGATGCTAGGTGCATGCCAAATACCAGAGGGCAAAGGACCCCAGCATGGTGTCATTATATGGGTGAGGCCTTCACCCCAAACTGCCAGGGTGGCAAATCCCAATTGGATGGGTAGAAATTACCTTTAACTGCCCCACGCTGACGCATGACTGTATCTCCCCAGTCAAACAAGGATGCTGGCCAGAGAAGGTTCCAGATCTTATACTATGACCAGGGATGTTTCCACTCCCTCTCCAAGGCACGGGAGCCAAGCCTGGTCATCTCACAGGATATAAAGATTAACCAACAACATCCACATTCAAACGGAACCCCAAAGCTAAACAGAGGTATCTCAAAACCATACCTTTCAGACAACAGAAATAATCTCAGAGAACCGTTTCCTAAGAGCAGGTTGCCTCAGAGTGCATTCTGGAAAAATCTTTTTGTTTTGTTGTTTTTTGGGAGTCAGAGTCTTGTTCTGTCACCGAGGCTGGAGTAAAGTGGGGCAGTTATGGCTCACTGTGGCCTCAACCTCCTGGGCTCAAGCGATCCTCCCACCTTGGCCTCCCAAAGTGTTGAGATTACAGGCGTCAGCCATTGCATCCCACCCATTCTGGAAAATTCTAACTGGTCCAGTAGGTATGAAGAATGCGATTCTGGGGAGAGTCACGTTGCCTGTTAGCAAATTAACCTTAGAGGGGTCTTGCACTTCAGAAACACATTGACTTGAATCCCATTTTCCAAGCTCACTTGACCACTCATTATTAGCACCCATCAGACGGGTCTCCATGCAACACGCTCTGGAGAAAGCAAACTGGAAAATTACGAAGAAAGAACTGGTCCAGGGGTTCTTAAGCTGGGCTTCAGACATTCAGGAACTGTCCAAAATCCTAAGGAAAAAAAAGAACTGTCTATTTGTGTCTTTTTGTTAGGGAAGAGGATCCTCAGCTTCCACAGGTTCCCAACAGGGCTGTATCTGCCAAGGTGAAGAATTGTTGATTTATGCCAAAGTCCTCACTCACCAATCAGGAAACAGAGGCTTGCAGAGCCAGTTTGCTCAACTGTCTTTCTTTCTTTTTTTTCTTTTTTCTTTTTTTTTTTTTGAGACGGAGTCTCGCTCTGTTGCCCAGGCTGGAGTGCAGTGGCGTGATCTCGGCTCACTGCAACCTCCGCTTCCCGCGTTCACGCCATTCTCCTGCTTCAGCCTCCCGAGTAGCTGGGACTCCAGGCGCCCGCCATTACGCCCGGCTACTTTTTTTTTTTGTATTTTTTTAGTAGAGACGGGGTTTCACCGTGTTAGCCAGGATGGTCTCGATCTCCTCACCTCATGATCCACCCACCTCGGCCTCCCAAAGTGTTGGGATTACAGGTGTGAGCCACCGCACCCGGCCTCCTCAACTTTCTATAGCAGTTACAGCAGAAGGTTGGACTGGAACCCAGATCTCCTCAATTCTATCACAACATTTTTAGTCGTAAGTTGTTTGCCAAGGCTGATATTACGAAGAGGGGAGGTGGGAAGGGCTGAAAAACTACCTGTTGGGTACTACGCTCCCTATCTGGGTGGTGGGGTCATTCATACCCCTCAGTGAGTATCACATGATATACTCATATAACAAACATGCATATGTATCTCCTGAATCTAAAATAAAAGTTGAAATTATTTTTTTAAAAAAGTAAAAGAAACCGGGTGCGGTGGCCCGTGCCTGTAATCCCAGCACTTTGGGAGGCTGAGGCAGGCAGATCTCTTGAGGTCAGAAGTTTGAGACCAGCGTGGCCAACGTTGTGAAACCCCATCTCTACTAAAAATACAAAAATTAGCCAGGCGTGGTGGCATGCGCCTATAATCCCAGCTACTCAGGAGGCTGAGGTGCGAGAATCGCTTGAACCTGGGAGATGGAAGTTGCAGTGAGCAGAGATCGTGTCACTGCACCCCATCCTGGGCAACAGAGCAAGACTCCGTCTCAAAAAAAAAAAAAAAAAAAAAGGCTGGGCACAGTGACTCATGGCTGTAATCCCAATACTTTGGGAGGCCAAGGCAGGCAGATCACTTCAGGCCAGGAGTTCAAGACCATCCTGGCCAACATGGTGAAACCTCATCTCTACTAAAAATATAAAAAATAGCCGGGCGTGATGGCAGGCACCTTTAATCCCAGCTACTCAGGAGGCTGAGGCAGGAGAGTCACGTGAACCCAGAAGGCAGAGGTTGCAGTGAGCCAAGATCACACCACTGTACTCCAGCCTGGGCAACAGAGCAAGACTCCACCTCAAAAAAAAAAAAAAAAAAAAAAGAGTGTTCTTTGCATCAGAATAATACCAACCATAGCACCACACTTTGCCCAGAACCTCCGTGGGACTTCTACTCACAACTCAGTATAGGTTCTTTTTTCTTGCTTAATACATATTAAAACCCACTTATAAAACAAGTAACAGAGTAATCACACCTTTATAAATAGACCTTCCCTGTACACATAAAATAAAATAATATCGCTGCCTCCACCATACGGATTTAGAGATGAACCAGTTTTTTAAAACACTCATAGGTGGGAATTGAACAATGAGAACACTTGGACACAGGAAGGGGAACATCACACACCGGGGCCTGTTGTGGGGTGGAGGAAGGGGGGAAGGATAGCATTAGGAGATATACCTAATGTTAAATGACGAGTTAATGGGTGCAGCACACCAACACGGCACATGTATACATATATAACAAACCTGCACGTTGTGCACATGTACCCTAAAACTTAAAGTATAATTTAAAAAAAAAAAACTTTACACAAAAACGTTCTCTTTTTACACATCTCGTGGTCTCCCTCACATCTGCATCTCTGTAGTTTGCTGGGTCCTGTCTGGAGTGCCCTTACCCTCCCGACCTCCCTTTTCCTGTCAGCCTCCTCGTTCTCCTTCCGCTCGCCCAGGCAATCTTCTGTCCTTCCTAGGAGAGGCAGTCTGATTCTGATTCTTCTGTGAAGACCACCCTGAGCACATCAAACAAAACCAAACCCCACCTCAACCATTCTGAGCCCAGGCTGGAGTACAATGGTGTGATCTCAGCTCACTGCAACCTCTGCCTCCCGGGTTCAAGCAATTCTACCACCTCAGCCTCCCGAGTAGCTGGAATTACAGGCACACATCACCATGTCCGGTTAATTTTTGTATTTTTAGTAGAGATGGGGTTTCACCATGTTGGCCAGGCTGGTCTTGAACTTCCAACCTCAGGTGATCTGCCCGCCTTGGCCTCCCGAAGTGCTGGGATTACAGGCGTGAGCCACTGCAGCCTGGCCCAGTTTGGAAATTTCTAACAAGCAGTTGAAAATGCAGGGCTGGTGCTCAAGAAGGCGTTCTGAGCAACGTGATGGGATTTGGGATGCACAGGCACACTCCTGGTGGGCATTGGTGCTGCAGGCATGAAAGATGTTACCCAAGGAGCGTGCCAACACCAAGGAAAAGGAGGAGGTTTGAAGAGAGCCAGACCTGGGTTTAACCTCTGGTTTTTCTAGCTAATAAATGAGCAGCTAAGTAAGCCTCTCTGAGCCCCAATCTCCTCATCTCTAGCCAGTCCAATCCTATGATATGGACCCTGCAGAAGCCTGGAGAGCTGGAACTTCACGATGTCTACAGAGGACCTAGTGCAGTCCCCACCAAGCAGGAGGCATTACAACAGAAGCCACACACAGAAGACCTCAAGGCAACAGGGGAATCTGGAGAAGGTGGTGCCCCAAGTCAGAAGAGAAAGTGGCTGTTAACATTATTTACATTCTTAGGACAATATCTTTTTTTTTTTTTTTTAAGTGATGGGGGTCTTGAGCCGCTACCCAGGCTGGAGTGCAGTGGCATGATCACAGCTTTCTGCAGCCTTGAATTCCTGGGCTCAAGTGATTTTCCCACCTCAGCCTCCCAAAGAGCTGGGAGCCTGCCACCACACCAAGCTCAAGGTCATTAAAGGTGCAAGACAGGATCCTTAATGGTGGCAACTTCAGTAGGCTGACGGAGGAGAACCTGAGGGTACGGGGGTGAGGAGGAAACACCGGACCAGAAGCATCGACCAGAGCAGAGCATCTCACTTGGTCCTGCCTGTGCCAAGGACAAGCTGACATGGAGAAGGCAGAAGATGGAATCAAAATGTCAGCAATTGGCATGATCTTACACCCCAGCCCTACTTGCTCATCTCCTTGCCCAGACCCTGAGCTGCGCCCCCTTCTTTGACCTTCTCCCCATCCCTCTTGCTCCATTGGCAATCGGCTCAAGAGTGCTGACTCGAGAGACAGCTGAACCCCAAGAGCTTTCCCCAGATGTGGTGTCAGGACGGTAGCAAAATATATACCATTTCTGCTTTTTTAAATATGCTTGGGTATTAAAGTAGGAATAAAACAATCCTGATGTTTCCAGCAATTTCTAAAAAGTCCTGATTTATACTCTGAATGCCAAATGTCCAGAATATAATATGCCATATTATATACTGGTGTAGACTAGAGAAAGTTAGATAGGAGGTAAGAGGGCAGGAGGAAAGAAATTGGAGGGTGTAGGGGCAAAAAAAAAAATCCTTTTTTAATTTTTTTAAATGGGAAGCCTTGGGCATCTTTATAAGCTGAATGAAAGAAGTCGACACAGCGGACACTGTCATAAGTGGAACAAAGGATGAAGCTAATCATGGAGGCAAGCTCCCTGGAGAGACAGGGACAAAATCAAGAATGAGCTGGAGAAATTAATCCTGGAGAAAGGGAGGGACCTGACTTCCTTGAAGGCAGGCAGCCAGGAAGTAAAGAGGAAGGAAAAATCAAGATACATTTTTGGCAAGGGGGCAGGAAGTGGATGGAGTCTCCTCCTGGGATACCCAGTTTGCTCAGTGAAATAAGAGATGACATCATCTGTTGAGAAGGAAAGGCCTAAAGGATAAGGATGAAGTAGGGGGTAGGGGGAGAGAGGTAGAGATTTGGACTAATCACCGTGGGAAACAAATGAGAGCACAGCAAGTGTATGTTAGAGGTCTGAGGACTCGCCCAAGGCTCCTCTGAGGTTGCGGACCATGAACTTGACATGAAGACCCTCTGTGGCATGGTGGGGTTATCTGCTAGTTCTCCAGAAATCAAGATACTTCTTTTATCAGAGAACCAGGGTATCTGATAGACTCTGTATCTCAGTCTGCATGCAACAGAATAATCTTCTGTTCTATATTCTTCAAACATCTCCAGTTCCCATTGACAACGGTAATTTTTAAATGTCAAAAATTCTGAATATCAGCATCAGAAAGTTAAAATATGCAGTTGCCAAAGAAAAAGAAATCCACATACAGTTGGCCCTCTGAGTCGGAACCCACAGATTCAACCTACCATGAATTTAAAATAATTGAAAGAAAAAAAAAGGCTGGGTGTGGTGATGCGTGGTGACTCACGCCTGTAATCCCAGCACTTTGGGAGGCCGAGGTGGGTGGATCACCTGAGATCAGGAGATCAAGACCATCCTGGCTAACATGGTGAAACCCTGTCTCTACCAAAAATACAAAAAGTTAGCCAGGCACGGTGGCGGGCACCTGTAGTCCCAGCTACTCGGGAGGCTGAGGCAGAAGAATGGCATGAACCCGGGAGGCAGAGCTTGCAGTGAGACGAGATCGTGCCACTATACTCCAGCCTGGACGACAGAGCGAGACTCCATCTCGGGGGAAAAAAAAAAGAAAAAAGAATACAAAATAACAATACAATAATAAAAATAATACAAATAAGAAACAATATAACTACTTATATAGCAGTGATATAGTATTAGGTATGATAAGTAACCTAGAGATGACTGAAAGAATATGGGAGGATGTGCATATAGGTTATATGTAAATATGATGCCATTTTCCATCAAGGACTGGTGCATCTGCAGATTTCGGTATCCACAGGGTCCTGGAACTAATACCCCATAGGTACTGAGGGACAGTTGTATAAAACGTTGAATAGGCCGGGTGCAGTGGCTCACGTCTGCATTCCCAGCACTTTGGGAGGTCGAGGTGGGCAGATCACCTGAGGTCAGGGGTTCAAGACCAGCCTGGCCAACATGGCTACTAAAAATACAAAAATTAGCCAGATGTGGTGACAGACTCCTATAATCCCAGTTACTTGGAAGGCTGAGGCAGGAGAATCACTTGAACTCGGGAGGCGGAGGTTGCAGTGAGCTGAGATGGCACCACTGCACTCCAGCCTGGGCGACAGAGCCAGACTCTGTCTCATAAATAAATAAATAAATAAAATTGAATATCTGTGCCTTTTGTTTGCGGTGGTTTTTGGTTTTGATTTTGGTTTTTGCCAATCAAGTCATTCCCCTGTTTCTGCTTTAGTGGCACAGGCTGGGGCCACTTTGTTTTTCATTGGGAAAAAATGGATTTTCTTTTTATTCATGGATGTTCGCTGTCCTGACCGGAGCCTCCCGGGTATCTCAGTTGTACCCAACCTTGAGAACCTGTTGTCATACCCACCCCACGTATTAATCATGTTACAGACCCAGGGGGAGACTGCCTGTCCCAGGGCTAGGTAACTCCTCAAGAGAGGAAACAGCTTATTCTGAAGATGCCTCTCCTGTGCTAGCCAACCACCTCCTTATCAAATGCTCACACCGGGACACTATTTCTCTCGCCCACCATCCACCCAGGCCCAGGTACCAGTCAACTAGGGACACCCCTGTAGCCCACCAGAATTGTTCAAACTAGCTCGTTTTAATGCTTTACCTAATTGTTACCCTGCCCTGCCTCGCTTTTCCTGAGAAAATCCCAACAAAGGCTCTAGTCCCGGCTTTCCCCTCACTCTTCTGCTTCCTGGTGCTTTCCTGTGGCCTGTGTGGTACAACGTGGGCCTGGCATGACATGGCAGTGTGCCCCCTTCTCTTGGGAAATGCAACTCATACATCCTCACCTCCATAAATTAAAATCATGTGGATACAAGTGAGACATCCCACTCCCAATCCCAACCGTGCTGGCCTTTCTCCAGCCTTTCCCCTGCTACCTGTCATCGGGTGTTTAGCTCATATGCTAGCACCTTGGGAATCCTGGCAGTGGGCGAAAGCCGAGCCAGTCTGACAATAACCACAAACCAGGGGCCCAGATGGTCCCACGCCTCGTCAGCCTGGAGCAGCTCACATCCAGTAGCTCCTATATTCACACCTTTGTGACTGCTATGAAGTGAAATGTCCCCGAATCCATTTTTTCAAAAGTCTGCTAAGTAGACATTTTTAGGGAACCTTCGCTTTCTTTTCATGTAAATAGAAACCAGCCACCTACACCCACACAACCATATGCCAAAGTCTGGTGCCATCTACTGAAACACACATCCACACGTCTGGCCGTACCCAGTAATACTCGAGTACACAAAGGAGATCTGGCCTTTTGTTTTACAAGAAGGGATTGTGTGTGGAGCTGCTCCATCTTTTGGAACAAAGAGAACTTCTGCTCAATTAATGAGCAAATGCTGGAGTTCACTGCATTTGAGCACTCCATTAATCTCAGCACTGCATTCACCTCCAAGACACGACATTGTGAGCTGCCCTCACAGCAGTGAAATGCGCGCACACACAGGCACGTTACACATGCACACACATATATCTGTACACACAAACACACAAACTTGAAACCTTCTGTCAAGAGGGAAAAAAGAGACCTTAAACCACTATTTGATCACCTTAAGCATAAATGAAACCATACAGCCCTAACTCTTGCCACACTGGCTCGGGCAGGCTCTTACACGGTTCCTCCAATGAGCACAGCTGGGAGTCCTCAGGGCCAGTCCCAGGAGTTCATCAAAGTCCATTGCACGCGGTCCCTTCCATGTCTATTATGGTCCTCTTCTGAATGGGAGGCAGCCACACCCAGCTGTTACCATGGCAGCAGCTGGGCACTGCTGCCACTTTTCCAGGATGTCACTGTAGGACCACCAGGCCTACATCCTCCTTCTGTTTCACAAACCCTCTCTTCCCCTGCCCCCCAACCATCCTGGCCTTAGTACTTGGGCAGGAACCCAACAGTCAAAACTGCACCAGTGGCCAAGTTCGAGAGATACATCCCAGCCTTCCTCTGGCCACTGAAGCCACATTCCTGGGTCCATATATACCCTATTCCTCTTTACCAGGCAAGGACTCTCCCAAAAGGCTTCCCCATCTCCCTCCGCACCTCAATTCATGGCAAGCCCACCCAACTCATTGACCAAACATGCCCAGACAGGGCTGAATCCCTCTAGCAGACTCAAGCTCAAGCTAGGAATACCCACACGTTCCACACACATAGGGAGACTTTAATTAAGACTGTGATGCAATTCATACACTTCTGAAAACATTTGCAAATTAAAAGGAAGTTGGAGAGGGTAACAGAAAGGAATGGACCAGTACAAACGTCATGATTTACTGGGGGATGACCACTCTATCTTCAGTGACCAGATAGGAAGTGGTCCACCGCTTGGTAAAAGGACACCCAGCGGGGGAAGAATAGGTCCACATTCCATTGAGATACCAATGCCAGTTCATAACAAACACAGCTGTTTCCCATCACCTGCCAACTCAAGATGCACACACGTGGTTAACACACACTCTCTTCTCCACTTCTCTCTTCTCCACTTCCGGGGTTGGGCCCTGAAATCATTCTGCTTTCCCAGCATTTGCTAAGCATCTGTCAGGCGCCAAGCACTGTGTCTGGGCTGTGGATTCAAAGGCAAGGAAGGCTGGATCCCTGCTCTCTGGGATTTATCTCGCGGCAAAATGCTCCTACCTAAATGGAGTTGGGAGGAAACTGCGAGTTGGGGAAAATCACTAGAGGGAAGAAGTGAGGGGGGATTTGGGAACACCTGGAGCATGTGAGGGACAAAGAGCATGACCACTTCTCAACAGAGCAGCTAACAGGGGAGATATACACAGCCAGCAAGCAGCATGCAAGACACTGAAATGTCTAGAAATGGAAAAAGATGGACAAGAGGAGGGAGGAGACATTCCAAGAAAAAAATTTCATTTGCCTGACAATTTAACTAGGGCCCTTGTGACATGTGGACGTCATGGAAATCCACTGGCTGCTCTTTATTGGGCTGTGTACAAAATAAAAGTGGGCAGGAACCACTGTGATGTAAATATCTAACATGCTAAGTGTCCAACTGAGTTATTATCAGTAGGTCAGGATTAATGAGTGAAGGAGCTGCGTTGTTTTCTCCAGAAGACATTCTTGAGCTGATTCATCTGAACAGACTCCATCTCCTCTGTGACCACCAGCTACCTACAGCAGGAAGGTCTCTGATGAGGTGAGGGGTTAGGTGCTATAGGTGGCCAAGGAACAGAATGAAACTAATGGGATCCAAAGACCTCACCTCATCGGCACTGTTACCTGCCAGGGGCAGAACAAAAAGACCAGGGTGCAACCTAACGAGCTGAACTTACGAGATTCGTGGGCCATCTGGTGCTTATTATCTCTCCTCTACAGGACTCATTGTCCTTACCTGTAATGTAAGAGCACTGAGCTGGCTAGGCGTGGTGGCTCACGCCTGTAATCCCAGCACTTTGGGAGGCCGAGGCGGGTGGATCTCCTGAGGTCAGGAGTCCGAGACCAGCCAGGCCAACATGATGAAACCTTGTCTCTACCAAAAATATAAAAATTAGCCAGGAGTGGTGGCACATGCCTGTAATCCCAACTACTCAGGAGTCTGAGGCAGGAGAATCGCTTGAACCCGGGAGGTGGAGGTTGCAGTGAGCCAAGATCGCACCATTGCACTCCAGCCTGGGCGACAAGCGTGAAACTCCATCTCCAAAAAAGAAAAAAGAAAAGAGCACTGAACTGGATGATGATTTCCAAGGTCCACTTAAACTCCTAATGTCCCTGATTCACACCTTGCACCCACCCAGTCTCAGCCAGAGCCCTGGCGCAAGACAGTGCTCTCAGGAAATGTTGGGAGGAAAGTGAGTCTATTACAACCAGCATCAGAAGAAGGGTAAAAGGAAGGAAAGAATGTCCCTCTCAACTGGCCCCAGCTTTCCCAAAACTCTGCCTTTGGCTTGTGCTGCACAGATGACAAATAACTGTTATAAAACACATTTATAATCCAGCAACAGTCAGCCTGCGGAGCACCTCAAACCCAAAGAAAGAAGGGCCCCCGGCCAGCCTTATAAATCATGCTCGAGGCTGGGCACAGTGGCTCAAGCTTGTAATCCCAGCACTTTGGGGGTTGAGGTGGGTAGATCACTTGAGGTCAGGAGTTTGAGATCAGCCTGGCCAACATGGTGAAACCCCATCTCTACTAAAAATACAAAAATTAGCTGGGCGTGGTGGTATGTACCCATAATCCCAACTACTCAGGAGGCTGAGGCAGGAGAACTGCTTGAACAGGGGAGGCTGAGGTTGCAGTGAGCCAAGATTGCACCACTGCACTCCAGCCTGGGTGACCCAGTGAGACTCTGTCTCAAAAAATAAAATAAAATAAAAATAAATCACGCTCATAACCCAATTCGGACCTCCAAACCTGGTTTAATAAAATTTGCCTCTCCACGTGATTCATTCTGGAGCATGGTTATACATTTGTTAATGTGCCACAGCATGATCTTGAAAAGTTGGGGCATAGAAGAGTGTGCCGAAAGACAGTCTCTGCCCACTCTTGCTGATAATAATAATAATAATAAAGCTATAGAATAGGAAATGGGTAAGCCATTTGGAAAAACAAAAAAACAGAAATAACCAAGCAAACCACTTTACCATGATCATAAAGGTGAAGAAAGAGACAGGGAAGAGAAAGGGAGAGAACTTGGACCACAGCAACAACGATGAATAGCGTAGAGGGGCTTTTGATGATACCTAGCATGTGGGGAGCTGAGAAATTGATCTGCTTCCCAGAAGTAAAGAGAAGGTGAGGAATTGAAAACCCAAGGGAACCGGGCGTGGTGGCGGGCGCCTGTAGTCCCAGCTACTCGGGGGGCTGAGGCAGGAGAATGGCGAGAACCCGGGAGGTGGAGCTTGCAGTGAGCCGAGATCGTGCCACCGCACTCCAGACTGGGCGACAGAGGGAGAGTCCGTCAAAAAAAAAAAAAAAAGAAAAAAAGAAGGAAACCCAAGGGAAGAGAAGCCAGAACCCTCTGCCTGTGATGATGACCCCGCGTGGGGTGGAGACAGAGCTGCCAGGGTGGTCGGGCAGCACGGCCACCACAGCTGCATCTCTGATGCTCTGGTTAACCCCAGTGCCCTGCTAGGACCACAGGCTCTGGCTGGAATTCACTTTCGGAGAGCCGGGTGGACAAGCACAAACGTGGTCACAATGAATTTCAAGGACTTCTTCGAATGCCTTTATTACTGCGGAAATTCATTGCCTGAATGATGTTTGAGATCAATGGACTGCCAGCTAGAGCTTGGGTTGCTTTCTCTTTTGGGAGAAACTGCAGTTTCAATAGATTCGGCTGGTGTGGCCGTTTTCAAAAGGGCTCCTCTTTTTGTGCTTTCGCTAAACATTTAATAAATTTATGATTTCTCTGTCCACCAAACACGGCCAGAACCACTTTAGACATAAGTGGAAATTCAACAGGGGGATAAGGGAAAATGTCCTCCCTGCTGCAATCTATCCCAACACAACAGCCAGGGTGATCCTCTTTAAACTGAAGTCAGGTCACGTTCAAACGGGAAGCCTCAGCACAAAAGCCAGGATCTTACTAGGACTTCTGAAGGCTTGTGCAAGCTGGCTACCATTTTATTTCCCCCTTCCTCTTCTACCATTCTCTGCTTGGGCAACCCCTCTTTCTGACTCTTCTTGAACATGCCAGCTCTGCCCCACCTCCAGGCAGTGACACCTGCTGGGCCTTCCACCTGGAATGCTCTTCTCCCCAAATATCTGCCTGGTTTGGTCCTTCACCTGCTTCAGGTCCTTATAGAAATGCCACCTTCTCAGATGTTCCCTAACCATGCTCCCTAAATTTACAACACTTAAACCCCATACACACACACCCTCTTCCCACCCCCTCTACAACTACACCCCATACACACACACACACCTCCTACCCCCTTACACCATGTACACCCTATACACAAACACACTTCTCACCCCCTTACAACACCTACACCCCATACACACACTTCCCACCCCCTCTACAACTACACCCCATACACACACGCATACTTCCCACCCCCTCTACAACACCTACACCCCATACACACATGCACACTTCCCACCCTATCTATAACTACACCCCATACAAACATGCACACTTCCCACCCCCTCTACAACATCTACACCCCATACACACATGCATACGTCTTACCCCCTTATCTGCTGTTTCTTTCTCCTTAGCAGTCAACACCATCTAACGCACTATGTATTTTGCTCATTTAGAACTCATTCTCTGTCTCCTCCACTGGAATGTCGGCTCTCTATGAGAGGGGACTTTCATTTCTTGTTCTTATTCTTGCATTTGTTTGTTCGGTTGGTTGGTTGATAGGCTGGCTACTACAGTAATGTGCAGTGCCTAGAATGTGCCAGGAAACACTTAAGAATTTGGTAACTGCATGAAATGAATGAAAAAGTAAGAACACAAGCCCAGCATCTTGCTCCTTCCCATGACCTGGCTTAACAAACCATAGGACTATGCTTCACGAGAACCTGCTGCTGATGCTGCACTTAGGGTCAGGATTTGGAGAGTGTGACACCGAAGGCGAGAGTTCTTCCACGGGGGGATCAACTGGTGATACTGAATCAGAAGACAGTGAGGGCAAGGAAAGTGAATGGGACTAGTAGGGTGAACACTTGTCACAGAAAGACTATTATATTTCCTAGAAAATGAAAACAGCTACAACCTAAAGCATGCCTCAGTGAGCAGATCAGAGTGGAGAGGAGAAAAAGAAAAAGAAAAGCAAAGAATAATTATAGTATGAAGAATGCATGACATCTGTGCCTTCTCCCAAGAGACTGGGCCTAAGGAAGAGCCTGAGGACATTCTATGAAATGCTGAAATCATATGCAGAATTTTGCAGGAATATGCATATTGCTGGAATAAAGATCCATAACTTTCACCAGCTTCTCAAAATAGCCCCTGATCGAAATGTTAGAGGAACGCTAACTTACACAAGAATGCCCTAATTCCTTTTATTTCCACTTATATCCATTTATTAAGTGCCTATTACCATATCTCACCAAATTCTAAGACACCAACAATTCCAAGACACAGCGTTATTTTATGCAGCATGTCAGTTCCGCTATGACATGCCATTGGTTGTAAGGCAAATGCTAATTTCAGAGATGCTAAAAATGCAAAACGATGTGAGGCTTAGAAGCTACAAATAACAGTATATGTCAAGCTCTGTTGCTAGTCCCTTTACATATGTTATCTGAGTCCTAGTGTGAAAAATGTTATTATTCAATTATAATTACAAATGAAGACAAAGCCAGAATTCCAAGGTGAGTTCCAACCTAGGTCTGTCTGAAAGCCTCCACACCAGCACACCACCTCCCAGCAAAGATATGGCTCCCACATCGGCAGACCTTATAACGAAGTACAGAACAAGAACCTCTAAACAATCAAGCTACAGACAGGTAATGAGAGTTGGGTATCAAATGATCACAGAAGCACCCAGCTTGTGTCTGGAGCAATCCTTCAAACAAACTTCCAAATCTCCCGAAGACAGTTTCACATTTATTATTCTAAGGAGCCTCTGCTCTTTCACCTACTTTATAGCTCCCTCTCACTTCAATAAACTACTTAAGTGGAAGTTAATGATCCAGAACATATAGTGCTCTGTGTTGAAAGGGGAACTTAGGAACAAAAGGTGCATGATTCCTTGTCAATGTTAAAACACATCCCTATTATCAAAGGATTGACGAAAGCAGGTCCTGGAAGGTTGGGGTTGAGATGTGTGCATAAGCACATGTGTGCACATGCTACAGGGTGAGAAGAAAGAGGCCTCGAGGAATAAAAATAACCATTTCACTGGATGTCTTCACAAACAGGATATGCTGCCACTTCCCTAAGGAGCTTTTAAGGAGCTCAATGAGTAGAACTACTGCCAGGAGAGAACCAGAAAGAAATCACCCCAAGAAAACACTAAACCCTGGTCAGGCATGGTGGCTCATGCCTATAATCCCAGCACTTTGGGAGGCTGAGGTGGCCAGATCACTTAAGGTCAAGAGTTTGAGACCAGCCTGGCCAACATGGCAAAACCCCATATCTATTAAAAACACAAAAATTATCCAGGTGTGGTGGTGCACACCTGTAGTCCCCGCTACTCGGGAGGCTGAGGCACGAGAATTCCTTGAACCCGGGAGGCGGAGGTTGCAGTGAGCTGAGAGTGCGCCACCAGCCTGGGTGATAGAGTGGGACTCCTTCTCAAAAAAAAAAAAAAAAAAAAAAAAAAAAAACACACAGAAAATACGAAACCCCCTCTCCCCACACTCTCCCCAATTTTGCTTTGTATGGTGATTTGGGTGTGATTTTATCTTATCAGTCAGCTCTTTCTTGTCATTTTCTATCTAACACTGAACAAGCCTAGTGGTAGATTGTAATAGCTGTTTACAATTACTCAATCCTCCCCTTTGCTGTAAGACTTATACATCCCTGCACAATGTCATACACTGTGTGGGGCTATGGACCACCCTGCCCCATGGTCAGGGTTGGACATGTGAGTTGCATGGGCCAATAGGACCCAGTGGATGTGAAGCTCACTACATCCAAGCAGGAGTTTTAAGGAGTATCATAAACAGGTATGGCCAATGTGGACTGGCCCTGAGTCTCAGAATTACAATGCATATGAAGCAGAACCATGGCCTGCAGCCTGCATATATACAAAGAGCCACTGAGATGTGGGATTGCATGCAAAAAATTAGTACCAGAAGTGGGATATGCCATAACAGATAAAATACAAGGCATAAGCTTTGGAGCTGGGCAGTGAAAGGTATGGAAACTGTCACTACAGGATAGAGAAATAGTGACCCGTGATCCAGCAGTAACACATTTAGTAAAACTGCCCCTGTGATCACTTCGAAGGCAGGAGTTGCAATGAACGAATGTGTAGCTTTAGGTGACAAGGTCGCAAAACAGAACATTGCTAGGGGGATTTGGTTACTATTAGGTCCATTTGACGAAGTACTACAATAAAGAGACGAGCTCAGAAAAGAGTTAGCTGGTTTTCCAATAGGATTGAGGCGGGAAAAAAAGAAAATTAGGAAATTTGGGACTTAACAATTGCAAGATACAATGATTTCTCATCTCCTATAAATAAAGAAAAAAAATGGGCCAGACGCAGTGGCTCACACCTATAATCCCAACACTCTGGGAGGCTGAGGCGGGCTGATCTTTTGAGCCCAGGAGTTCAAGACCAGCCCAAACAATATGGCGAAGACTTGTCGCTACAACAAATTTTTAAAAATTACCCAGGCACAGTGGCGTGTGCCTGTAATCCCAGGTACTAGGGAAGCTGAGGTGGGAGGATCACTTGAGCCCGGGCTATCAAGGCTGCAGTGAGCCAAATGGCACCACTGCACTCCAGCATGGGTGACAGAGTGAGACCCCGTCTCAAAAAAAAAAAAAAAAATTTTTTTTTTTTTTTTAAGGAAAGATGATTAAGACCTAGCCTCAGGACACAGACAAAACTAAGGGCACGTTAAAGTCTCTAAAGGAATTAAGACACCCCCACCTCGCCCTACCCTAACCCTAGTAAATCCTTTTAGTTGAGCAAAATTGCTACAGGAAAAGTGATTAGTGACATGGTCTCACAGAAACCTGATAAGCTCAAAGTGGCCTGTAATTAAATCCAGAAGGAGAGATATGTCTGGTAAATAGTTACCTCAAAAGAGGTGTAGGTGTGGCTACTGGCCCAGGGAGTAACTAAAATCAAATGGAAATAAAAATTGATCATTGTTTAGCATGAATGATATCCCCAAAAGAGACACCAGCCTGGTCTAAAAGAGACTGTGACCACAGGGGACCTAAAACAACTTTTGGCACCCCAAATTGCTATAAGCAGGAAGTAGCCTGAGAAAGCTACCAAGTCCCCAATGAAGATATATTCTCTAATACTTTTTCAGGTGTGTCCGAACAGGATGATCAAAAAGGAAAAATCTCCCAGAGGGAGAAGTCAAAAGTCAGAGAGAGGCCAGGCACGGTGGCTCACACCTGTAATCCCAGCACCTTGGGAGGCCAAGGCGGGTGGATCACGAGGTCAGGAGTTCGAGACCAGCCTGGCCAACATAGTGAAACCCCGTCTCTACTACAAATACAAAAATTAGCCAGGCATGGTGGCGTGCACCTGTAGTCCCAGCTGCTCGGGAGGCTGAGGCCAGAGAAACACTTGAACCTGGGAGTCAGAGGTTGCAGTGAGCCGAGATTGTGCCACTGCACTCCAGCCTGGGTGACAGAGTGAGACTCCATTTCAAAAAAAAAAAAAAAAAAAAGCCATAGAGAACAATGGATTTGAGAGCTTCTCATTTGAGGAGAATTCCCTATCCCAAGGCAGGTGGGCCTCTCATGCTGTCCAGTGGAATTTCAGGATGGCCATGTGGATGCGCTTCTTTCTCTTTTGAAATACAAGTGCTCACTGGGGTTGGCCTATTCCTGTTCTTCCACGACGGACATGTGGACCAGGTCACTTATTTTGGTTCACAGCTCTCTAGATGAACAGCAACTAAATCCAGACCTGCTGATAGAATCTCATGAGATCCTGAAATTCACACCTGATTCCATGATTACATGCGAATTTTTAGGTATCTTCCATGAGTCAGAAATGAATTTATGTCGTATATAAATATACAAAATGATATATAAGATGATTATTTATGACCAGGAGGGAAGACTGTAGCAGACTGTATTATACAGTCATCCCTTGGTATCCGTAGGGATACCTCCTCCCTCCCACAGATACCAAGATCTGCTGATCAAGTCCCTTGAGCCAGCTCTTCATATCTGTGTGTTCCTCACCACGGATGCAGAAGGCCTACTCTATTCACAATTATTCATGTCTCCCTCCCCTTAGTAGATGTTTATGTCCCCACCTGGAATTGCAGTACCTGCCTATTGGCCAAGCATACTTCCCTGTACAATGTCAGACTTTGCCATATGATTTGTTAAGCAACAGAATGTGAATGGATGTGAACACTCCACATCCAAGCAGAATTCTTCAAGGACGTCATGAGTTTCCACCAATTCTCTAATTCTTCCCCTCCACCATGACATTGCACATGGCCACAGGGGCTGCTGTTTCAGCCTGGAATCCAGAAGGAGAAAACAATGTGACAGAGATACAGCCAACCTGCAGCCTGCATGTTATTTGGAAGCAAAATAAACCTTCAGGATGGCAAACCACTGAGATTTGAGGTTTCCTTGCTGTGAGGCAAAGCTGACTTAAGCAGCCTGTTCCACCCAGACAACTGAAATCAATGCTTAAACTCTTAGCAATACACAATCTAATGCAAGGAATATGCCTGGGGTCCCATGTGAGCCCTCAGGCTTTTAAATCCTCATCTTTCCTGGGAAGGAGACATAGAGCTCAATTGGTTCCATATAAATGCTTCTTCAACTTTTGAGTAAATTCCATCATCTTTGTGAGCCATCTAACAGTGAAAGTATTAACAATGAAATTTTAAAAAATCAAATCATAATTTCCTTTTAACCAGCCATGCTTTGAATGACAAATATGTAGAGAGTGAGTTTGTTCTCATCTCTCTTCTCACTGCATTCTTACTGTAGCCTCTCACCTAACCTTGTTGGCTCCAGAGACCAAAAGAAAGTCAGCTAAAGCCACAAAGGCCAAATGGACATGAGAAAATGTCTGAAAATGCAATATCAGGGATTGTGTTTGTCTTGTGAAGTCCTTTTTGCCCCTCAGGGAAAAATGACTGGAGGCTCCTCTGACTTCGGAGTAATTGCTTTGAATGTTTTGGGGGAAGATATTTTTTCTGGGGATGTTGCTGTTGTTGCTAAAATGATGTCCATCCAGAAAAACATAAGATTGCCTTTGTTTTTAAACTTGATTATAAACCAGCCCTGAGAAGCCTTCTAAGAGACTTCCATAAGTCTTTTGAATAATGCCATCATTCCAAGTTGACCATTTCCAGGGAGCCCAATCTCGTTTGCCAGATGAGTTCTGCCGTGTTTGTTCACATACCAGCTTTATTACGTTTTAATTAGTTGTTATCTTTGACCCCAAAAAGGGATTCCCGAGCACCTCAGAATGGAGCTCACAGGCACTGGTAGGCCTTAGTGGCCCTTTCTGCTCCTGACCCCAGGGGGACACCTGGGGATCAAGCTGAGGTGAGAAGCAGACTCAAAGTCTTCTGTTCACAGATAAATGCCCCACGTGACCTTGCACGGGAATTACTGAATAAAAGAGACCACTACCCTGATTTGAACAGCACCAGACACAGAGCTGTGAAAGAAAATGCCTCTTACAGATGACAATGTCCGGTTGCCCAGTCCTGGATTTGTTTTATTTATTTACTGAGACAGAGTCTCCCTCTGTCGCCCAGGCTGGAGTGCAGTGGTGTGATCTTAGCTCACAGCAACCTCCACCTCCTGGGTGCAAGCAGTTCTCCTGCCTCAGCCTCCCGAGTAGGTGGGACTACAGGCGCACACCACCATGCCCAGCTAACTTTTATTTTTATTTTTGGTAGAGATAAAAAAAAAATGGGGTTTCGCCATGTTGGCCAGGCTGCTCTTGAATTCCTCCTCTCAAGTGATCCACGCACCTTGGCCTCCCAAAGTGCTGGGATTACAGGCATGAGTCACTGCGCCCAGTCCCAGCCCTGGATTTGAACCAGTGTTCACTGAAGCATTTCCAAGCCTGTTGTTGTGCCTTCAGGTATATGAAATTCAACACATATTCTAAAAAGGACCTTGCCAATGTTCAGTAGAATGGAAGGCCATCCCATGAGTTTCAGAAACACTGATGCTGCTTTAAAACAAAAAACTCCCGGTGATTATAAGGCTTACCTGGAGTATCTCAAATATTTCAGTAGCGAAAATTCAAAGACAAGGACCAGCAGGAATGCCAATTCCATGTTGCAATCACGCCTCCCCACCCACAAGCATGTTATTAGTGTGTGCTTCCAATGCATAATTACCTTTCATTTTCCCATAGAATTTCAGGAAAAAAGAGCACAGGGCTCAGATGGTTTGTGAAATCAATAGGTGATTTCATCTCTTACATGCAAAAATAATCAGTTCTATTGAGAAGGAAATGTATACACACACACACACATACACACACACACTACACACACACACACTGGAAAGCCCACATTCAACAGTCAAGGTCACACACACAGGAAATATTCATGAAAAGGGAACATTTGTAGTATCATCCTGAGCCATATAGCACAGTCCAAAGTACATGGGTTAATAAAGGGTTAATAAAGGAAGAAACCATCTCACTCTCAATAAGGCTGAATTTGATGTGCTCAAATAACACTGATTGCTCCAAAAAAAAAGATAAAATTCCTACAAAGAGGAGGATCCCAGGCCTAACGATTGGATTCTTTTCTAGACAACTGTAACCACCCTCTGGACACTATAAAAGAAAACAAGTATCCAAAATAGCAGGATGACTATTTGTAATTACTGTGTAATTGTTGGTTTTACATGTCTGTCTCTTCCTGGGCTTAGTGAAGGCAGAGACCAAGTTCACTAATTGGATTCAGCCAAGGAGAGCAGTTGGCTCCATGAAGTATGAATGAACAAATGAACTAATGAAAAAAAGAACACGTAAGTTCTGTACCAAAGAAAGAGGAAAGAAAACCATGAATCCTGGTAGTACCAATCCTGATTCTATCCCACCTGCCAGCAAACAAGAAAACAAAGGGACCATCAGGAATTCTTCATTTAGTCCAAGCTCTGAAAAGAGAAAATAATTCCAAAATGTCATATTAAGAAGGTAAGGAAGACATGAGAATTTGAATGGAAGAAAACAGAGCAGTGGGTGGGAAAAAGTGGAGACTGAAATCTTACAACCAGGAAGTGTAGGCTGTGGCTTTGAAGGAAAAAAAAATTGAATTTCCAGGTTCCCAGGGCCCTGATAGTTGATTCTCTCCTTCACTCTCCTGCTTTGAGTCTACGTCAATAGACTCTCACAGCCTGAACCTCCCTGGCCGTACCTCAAGCATTAGAGCAAGATTGAAAAGGCTTCTAGATAGAGGTGATACAAACAAAGGGAAGTGCGTGCCTCTGGGAACCGAGCAAGAGTTTTCATCACCAAGGATCTTTGGACCCTGACAAAACCACAGGTAGGCTTCATTCATTTCACTCAGTCAACAGACATGCCCTGAGCACCTGCTTCATGCCAGGCACTGCACTGGGCCAGCCCAGAAGCAGTAGGAAGTCGAATGTTAAATGCCTGTGAACCCGCATTGGTGTGCTTTGCTGGGGAAAGGGTCTCCAGCAACAGTCTGTAGCCAGGGGTGATGGCCAGGGGCAGAGCGAACCCACAGAGCCTCCCAGTGCACACTGCAAAGGTACCCCTTCCTCTACACAGACCCAGCCTGGCCCCAGGCTGTCTACTCCACAGCAGAATCTCAGCTGGAATTCAAACTCCTTGGGTCCAGTGTCCTTGTGAGAGACCCATCCTGCCCTACCCTATCTGCTCCCTTGTAGACAGCCCTCTAGCGACCATCAGAAGTGTCTGGGGCATTTCTGCCCCATGCACACATTGACGGGGGGTACTACAGGCACTTAGGGGCTGCGGACCAGCAGTGCTAAGCATGCTGCAATATACAAGACATGGCTACCCCATAAAGAACTGGCCCGCCCCAAATGCCAATAACCCAATAGTGTGTGGTTTTTATCGGGTGCTCGGGTAGTCTCCTTTCCACAAAACGGTCAAGGTCAATGTGCTAAGGATGACAGGCCAGGGGTCATCATGGTGAGAGCCCAAATAAGGAAGGAGTGAGCAGCCACTTCACGGAGTCTACACAGGCATCGCTGCAGCCTTGGAAGATCTGCTACCCAATTGTCAGCCAACAATTCTATTCAATTAAAAAATTCCCAAATATTGAAACTTCATATTTTAAGATTAAGGGTGCAAATTTTTTTTCTTAAAGGGAGAAAAATAGGAATCAAGGCCCTTTGATAGTCATAGCAGACGACTCCCTTCCCCTCCAGACCTCTCCAGTTGTGCCCCGGGGGTCTTGCTACCCTTGGAAACTGGATTTAACTTTTGTTAAGCACTCTATAGAATAAAGAAAAGAACTGCCAATTGGTTCTAAGAAGACACTGTGCTTAGAAAACAGGGCACATCGCTGTGTTAAATGTATGGTACTGAAGAGTTTCCTCCAGGGAAAGACAATGTGTTTGTCTGCCTCAATGTACCCAGGGGAAAGCAACACTGAAATGTCCCTGACTTTGCGAGGATATTAAATGGGGATCCAAAGTAGAGGCATGGAAAACAGAACTTCTGTAGCCCCTTCCTAGAAATCTCCTGACTTTTAAAATACAGTTTCTGAGTTGAAATGTCCTGTTCTGCAGGTTGAAATATACGATCAAAACCTGCTTTGTGTAGCCCTCTGCATACAGCATTTTAAACAAGCTTCTGGAGCCCTATTACTCCCTCATAGCAGGCCAGCAGAGAAGCCAGGGCAGCTCATTAGTTCTGGGAGAGCTGTTTCAATTACATTCCAGTTGTAGCCCTTCCTGTTCCCTTGCTTTGTTGTTAAAGTTCCACCCGCAAATGCTTTCCTCCACTGGCCCAGTCCTATAAATTGGTGAGCTACAGGGGCTGCTTAATCCCATAACTAGCAAAGACAGGCTCTGAAGTCTTGGTCAGATCATAGGATCCTGTCAGATACCAGTACAGAGTCTCTACCCTCATCCTACTGTTCTTGTCCAGCCTGAGACAGGTCTACGGCAGCAAAGGGAAGAGCAGCACCATTAAGAATCCTCAAGTTGAGTAGTACTGGAACATAAGGTTCTGAGGAAAAGAAAATGAAGATGGCAAATCTTCTTTACTCCCTGGCTGAGACACACAGAAGAAGCGACTACAGTTTGACACTAAGTGGTTAATAACTCTAATCAAGCAGGCTGGATGAGGGGCTGAAGGATTGTCACAGAGGCACTGAGAAGGGTGGCCTCAAGGAGAGGCTTGTGTTCCATAATAAATCTCACGGAAGCATCTAGACTGGTCACTTCCATCCTGAATGTATGGTGGGGCCCTAGCAACAGACCAGTGGCTGAGTTTATTTAGCACTGTAGGCTAATGGGCTTCCACTGTGTAAGTCAACCTAAACCAAGCCTAGAGGAGAACTTCACCCAGATCTCGTTTTCCAAAGAGAGGGAAGGACCCCAGGGTGGCATCTACCCACATGGGTCTCCATACAAAGAAAGAAGACAGGGCCCCAGAAGAGCTCTTCCAATTCCTGGTACCAACCACCCAGGAAATGCTGCACTGGGGCTGCACGTGGCAGCCCTGGGTCCAAGAGAGCCTGAGAGAATTCTTCAAGGAGCTGCTGATGCTTAGAAGTGAGAGAGAGGCTGGGGGACCTCACTCCAGCCTTGGATAGATGGAAGAGGGGCAGATCACCTGAAACAGAAGACAAAGAGGAGTACAGGCCCAAAAAGAGAGGTACAGAGAGAGCTGCAAAGGAGTGAGTGAAAGAGACCAAGAGAAATGGAGAGAGCAAGAAAAAAGACAAGACGAGATGAAACCAAACAGGAAGAGATGCCTTGTTAACCAAGTCGAGAAGTACTGGTGGACTGCAGAAGCGAGAGGAAAAGGTTACCATGGCAACACCTTGCAGAAAGCGTAGGCTGTGTAGCTGAGTGAGCCCAGCCAAGAGAGCTGCAGCCGCCAATGGCCTCACCTGCTACTGCATCTGTTCACCTGTGGGACTGTGCCTCGAAGGCTATGCCCAAGCTCCCACTCCCCATCTCCAAGATCTCAGCCCAGAACCCGCTCTCCGTTCATCCGCTGCCCCAAATTTTGTGTCACATGATCCCTTCCCAAATGCACCAGATAGACAGAGGAGGCTGGGGAGCCATGGGCTCAGCTGCCCGGCCCCCTCCCCAGGTGTCCTTATTCTTGGTTCAAGGTTGAGGAATCTTGGAACATGACGAAAGTCTTAGCAAGTTACTCAACTCAAACTTTCACACTGCACAACAAGCCTCTCTGTAACTTCCCTGACCACTGGTCACCACAACTCTGCTTGAATCCTTTCAGTGACAGGGAGCTCAGCCCACTGCATGACTCAAATGCTTACGACTTCAGCTTTCATTCTCTGATCTAAGATCTTGCTCTACAACTCGGTAGAGGCAAGGGGGAAGATGAACAAAGTCCACTGTGACTAGTGAACCATGAGCCATGCTCCTACCATATGCTGTGATTCAACCCCCAACCCCAGGCCCTGCTCTCACCACAGACATGCACGTCTTCTACACCTCTCACTGCAATTCTCTATAATTTATCACATCGATTTTATAGTATATTTTTCGTTAACCTCACATTTGTACATCCAGGCTCCATGAGCTCTTTGGCTATTTTTACTGTTGTCCAGACAGAATAACTAACATTCATTGAGAGCATACAATATACTAGGCACCATTCTAAGCATTTTACATGTATTCACTTAGCCTATCTTCCCAAAACTCCAACGTCTAGCAGCCACTAAGGAGCTGAGTCAGAATTTAAATCCAGTTTCTTTAGGGATTTATCTTTCCTCTTCTACCTGAAGAATGACCTGTTCTTTTATTATTATTATTATTATACTTTAAGTTCTGGGTTACATGTGCAGAACATGCAGTTTTGTTACATAGGTATACACATGCCATGGTGGTTTGCTGCACCCATCAACCCGTCACCTACATTAGGTATTTCTCCTAATGTTATCCCTCCCCTACCCCCCACCCCCCACAGGCCCCGGTGTGTGATGTTCCCCTCCCTGTTTCTATGAAACAACCTGTTCTTTTGGTATGGATTCCTCCATATCCCTGATTCAGAGAGTGTTCGGACCCAAATGTGCTCAATGACTCAATAAGAATCCACACCTGAACCAAAACATTCTCCAAAGTTTCCAATATGGGCATCAAAATCCCCACGGTCTGGGCCAAAAAATTCCTACATCCAGGCTCCATGAGCTCTTTGGCTATTTTTACTGTTGTCCAAACAGAATAACAACTAACATTCATTGAGAGCATACAATATACTAGGCACCATTCTAAGCATTTTACATGTATTCGCTTAGCCTATCTTCCCAAAACTCCAACATCTAGCAGCCGCTAAGGAGTCGAGTCAGAATTCAAACCCAGTAAGTCTGACTCCAGAACTTATTCTCTGAACTCCAAATCTATACCATTTCTATATTGTGACATCTTTCAGGACAGTGGTGGCTTTTCAAATATGCATACCGTTCATCTACCGAAAACCTACAGGTAACATCACACTCAATGTGAAACACTCAATGATTTTCCCCTAACATCAGAAATAAGGCAAGACTGTCTGCTCTTACTCCTCCCTTCAACATTATACTGCAAGTCTTAGCCAGTACAATCAGGTAAGAAAATGAAATTAATAGCATACAGATTGAAAGGAAGATATAAAACTGTCACTATTCATAGACATGACAGAAAATTCCAAGGAATCTACCAAAAAATTCTTAGAACCAATAAATGAGTTTAGTGAGGTTGGAGGATACAGGGCTAGCACATACAAAGTCAATTATATTTCTATATACTAGCAATGAGCAATTAGAAATTTAAAATACAGTATAATTTAAAATAGTACCATAAAACACTTAGAGGTATAAATCTAACCAACGGTAGAGTATGTATGATGAAGACCACAAAACACTGATAAAGGAAATCAAAGACTTTGGAGAATATACCATGTTCATAAAATGGAAAACTCTATATTTATTAAGATGTCAATTTCCTCCAAATTGGTTTATGGATTCAGTGCAACCCCAGTCAAAATCCCATTGGGATTTGTTTTTCTGAGATGGAGTCTTGCTTTGTCGCCCAAGCCAGAGTGCAGGGGTGCAATCTCTGCTCACTGCAACCTCCGCCTCCCGGGTTCAAGCGATTATCTAGCCTCAGCCTCCTAAGTAGCTGGGATTACAGGCGCGCACCACCAAACCCAGCTAAGTTTTGTATTTTTAGTAAAGATGGGGTTTCACCATGTTGGCCAGGCTGGTCTCAAACTCCTGACCTCAAACGATCCACCCGACTCAGCCTCCCAAAGTGCTGGGATTACAGGCGTGAGCCACCACGCCTGGTGCCATTAGGATTTTTTGTAGATATTGGCAAGCTGATTCTAAAATGTGAAAGGAGAAAGGATACGCACAAAAACCAATGAATCAGAATGAAGGGTCCAAAAACAGAACCAAACAAATATGGCTCACGAACTTTTTACAAAAGCGAAAGGTTAATTCAATGGAGAAAATACAGTCTTTTCAATAAATGCTGCTGGGACAATTTAACATCCATATGAAAAAAAAAAACTCAACCTTGAACTCTACCTGACACCATATTTTTTTGAAACTTCAAATAGATAGTAGACTTAAATGTAAAACGTAAAACTTTTAGAAAAAAAAAATAGGAGAAAACCTTTGCAAACTTAAGTTATGCAAAAAATTCTTAGACGTAACACCAAAAGCACAATTCATAAAACAAAAAAAAAGAAAAACTGATAAATTGGCAGTTCATCAAGATTAAAAACTTTCGATCTCCAAAGGCACTGTTAAGAAGAGGGAAAGGCAAGCCAGGGACTGGGAGAAAAAGAAATGCAAATCACATATCTGACAAAGGTCCTCTATGCAGAATACAGAAAAAGAACTCTCGGGGCCGGGCACAGTGGCTCACACTTGTAGTTCCAGCACTTTGGGAGGCTGAGGCAAGTGGATCACCTGAGGTCAGGAGTTCAAGACCAGCCTGACCAATATGGTGAAACCCCGTCTCTACTAGAAATACAAAAATTAGCCAGGCAGGGTGGCGTGTGCCTGTAGTCCCAGCTACTCGGGTGGCTGAGGCAGGAGAATTGCTTGAACCTGGGACGCGGAGGTTGCTGTGAGCCGAGATTGCGCCACTGCACTCCAGCCTGGGCAACAGAGCCACACTCCATCTCAAAATAAAAAGCCTCTCAAAACTCTACCATAATTAAACAAATGGATTAAAAAACAAGCAAAAGATTTTGACACCAAAGAAGATGTACAGATGGCAAATGAGCACATGAAAAGATGCTCGACATCATTAGTCATTAGGGAAATACAAATGAAAGTCACCAGAGACCACTACTACACTCATTAGAATGGCTCAAGTTTTAAAAACAAAACAAAACAAAAAAGTGATGAGGCCAAGGGCTAGTGAGGGTGCAGAGCAACTAGAACTCTGCTGGGACTGAAGAACGGCTTATCCGCTTTAGAAAACGGTTTGGAGGTTTCCTATCACATGACCCAGCCATCTCACTCCCGGGTATTTAGCCAGGAGAAATGTAAACATATGTTTACACAAAAGCCTGTATGCCAATATTGATAGACGTTTCATTCATAATTGCTGAAAAATCAGGAAACAACACAAATGTCCTTCAACTGGTGAAAGTAAACAAATTGTGGTGTATCCACACGATGGAATGCTACTCAGCCTTAAAAAGGAACACGCTGTTGACACTTGCAACATAATGAAGTTCTCTGAAATGCATGACGCCAAGTAGAAAGAAGTTAGATCCAAAAGGCTACATACTGCATGAGTCCATTTAGGTGACATTCTGGAAGAGGCAAAAATATAGGGGCAGAGAACAGCTCAGAGGTCACCAGAGGTTAAACAAAAGGGAAACAGGGATAGGTTGAGGGTAGGGTTTAACTACAAGGGGCCAAGAGGCTGCTCAAGGGAATATGGGGAGGTGATGGAACTCTCCTATGGTGATGGTTACAGATCTGTGCATTTCTTAAAAACTCGTGGAACTGTACTCCAAAAGAATGAGCTTTATGATATATTAATTTAAAGAATAAATTTTTAAAAATATTCATGTCCTTTATCACCTGAGCAATTCTTTTTGAGACAGAGTCTCGCTCTGCAGCCCAGGCTGGAGTGCAGTGGCACGATCTTGGCTCACTGCTGCCTCTACCTCCCGGGTCCCGGTTCAAGCAATTCTCCTGCCTCAGCCTCCTGAGTAGCTGGGATTACAGGCACGCGCCACCATGCCC